>NC_000004.12:91648653-91951684 GCF_000001405.40 Homo sapiens
TACATAAGATGGTATACAAAGCTAAAAGACTAGATGAGATCAAGAAGTTGATGATTACAGATAAAAATGGTAAAAGACCATGGATTGACTTTTGAGGTATTCTACATCAGAATTTCTTGTCCATAAAGGGCAAGAGAAGGCAATGACCGAAACATATTAAGAAGGAGCAACCAGTGAGATCGAAGAAAAATAATGAAAATATGACATCTGCAGCTACTAGTGAAGTTTATCAACAAGGAGGAAGTGATTATCTGTGTCAAACGCTGCTTATAGGTCAAGTATGATGAATAATATAAATTGACCATTGGATTTAGCATTGTGGTTACAGATGACTTCAATGACAGTGCTTCTAACAAAAAGCTGTTTGATAAACTCTTCCTTCCTTTTCTGTCTCCTACCAGTCGATCTTCATATATCTTTTTCCAATTATGATTACAGTCATTAATTTTTCCTCATGTTTTAAATGACAAAAGAGTATGTTTGTCATTGAATTAAATAGGAAAGTCAGATATATAAATAAAATAATCTCACATTTCTTCCCACACAAACATCTCCATAACTTTTAAGAACCTTATCTTAAAATCTTGGAGAGTTATCTTTCACTTCATTCTTCATCTCATCTGAAATAGAAAAACAAAAAATTACATTAATTTAAGGGTCAGGTTTTTTGTATTGACAAAAATGCATCCTAATTACCTAAACAGAAAGATAAATATAGATATGTCATTATTTTTCAATTTTATCTCTAAATTGACAAATAATAATTGCATATATTCATGGGGTACATAGTGACGTTTCAATACATATAATTTACGGTAATGAGACCAGCATAATTAGCATATTCATCACCTCAAATTGTTATTACTTCTTCATGTTGGGTACTTTCAATATCCTTCTTTTGATTTTTTGAAGCTAAGTTATTTTTATCTATCATCATCCTACAGTGGCATAGAACACCAGAACTTATTCCTCCTATCTAGCTGTAATTTTGTCTCCTTTAACGAATCTCTCACTGTCTCTCCATTTCCCTTACCCCTCCCAATCTCTAGTATCATCTGTTCTACTTTTAGTTCTGTGAGATCAACGGTTTTTTTTCTAGCTTCCATATGTGAGTGAGAACAAGTGGTATTTAGCTTTCTGTTCCTGGCTCATTTCACTTATCATAATGACCTCCAGCCCTATCCATGTTGCCTCAAATGACAGAATTTCATTATTTTAATTGTTGTACATTACATGTCTGAATAACAAGTTAATGAATCTTGTTTGAACTGATAGACATTCAACTATGTCCAGCTTTTGTTCTATAGATAACGCTACAACAATAAATATTACTGTTCAAATATCTCGAGATATTAATGCTTTTGTTTCTTTTGTATAGTTTTTCAAAAGTAGAATTCAAAGTAAAAAATGATGTATATTTTATAATTTAATGTACACTGTTGCATTTCTATTTGTAATTAATAAAAGTGTTTCTTTGTCTTTACTAATGTTGGATGATATTAGTTTAGTTTAGTTTAGTTTTAGTGTTTTCTTATCTGAAGGAAACCTTAATTGTTGCTATAGTTTGCATTTTCCTAAATAGCAATCAGGTCAATCACCATATAAGTTAATAATTAGGCTTTCGGTTTTGCTTTTCTCTGAAATGCCTGTTGTCTCTCTTCTCCCACTTATTTTTTCTTGTATTATCCAGAAAATGCTTTTTTCTCATGTAATGTTCTACTATAATTCTTTTTGTCTCTTCCACATATGTAGTTATGTCTTCCTGGTCAATCCTAGAATTGTATACTTTTGCTTTCTCTTTTTTTCTTAATCAGGCTTTCCCGGCAACTGTCTACTGTTAGTTGTTTCTGAGCAAGAGCTTTTTCTTTAATTTAGTGTTAGTTTGGTTGTCACAAGAGGATAGTACTGTGCTTGGCAGTAAAACAGGCACAGTTAAAGAAGTAATGTTTCTTTAATGGGAAAAGAAATGGAAACTTAGGAAGATAATTACCTAAATAGGAGACAGTTCTCCATGCTCATACATAGTAGTACAAGCTTACCAGTTTTTTCAAAGTTTCCTCATAGAGGCATATGACTGCTCATGAGGGAGGAAATACCTAAGAGAGAAACTCTGTTTGCCACCCTAAAGGAATTTTTAATCATCCTGCTGCCACGACCTTCAACTTAGCATACCCAACACTTCCAAAAATGAGCAACAAGCTACATAAGTTCCCGATGGTCAGAGTCAACCCAGGTGTCAATGCATCCCCAAATCTTTATTACATAAATGGACTAAGAATTTCTGTTTTCCCAAGTCTTTTTTTATATATATTTTTATATTTTTTCTTTTCAATACTGATTTCAACTTTGATTCTCCTTTCCTGTTTAGGCATCCAATCTAAATTGTTGAATATATTTGTACTAGTGACAAGTAACTTTCCCCCATTTATGTTTGTACTTTTTTTTTCTATTAAGTAACAAAAGGATATTCCCAAAATTTTAGCATGGAATATACCTACCAGTGTTTTTGTGCAGCTAGGTTATGACCATGTGACTTTTTGTCAGTAAAATGTGAGTGAAAGTAGTATGTGCACTTTCATATCATCTACTTAAAAGAAACATGCATACCCATTCTTTCACTCTTTCTCCTACTCACGTGCTGAAATGTGTATGTGGTCTTGGTCAGCCAGCTTTGAGGATGATGAGGGCAATGCAGTCTACACTACCAGATAGCAAAGCATAAGAAAGTGAAATTTTGGTGACTGTAACAGAAATGCCTTTTTGGCCCTGAACTGCCTATCTACCACTACACAGTAAAATGAAAAGAAACAAAAACAGAAAAGATAAATAAAAAAACATGAAATACTCATATCTTGTTTTGAGCCGCTATACTTTGGAGTTTTTCCTCACAATAAGTTAGTCAAAGATTTGGCAAATTTTTTCTGTAAAAGGCAAGATAGTAAATATTTTCAGCCTTTCAAGACATATAGTCTCTGTTGCAACTACCCAACTATGCTTCAACTCTTCCCTTTTAGTGTGAAAGGAGACATAGGCAATACATAAATGGTTGCACACAAATGGATGTGTTCCAAATTTTATTTTAAAAAAACAGGTGACTGTTTATATTTGGCCTATAGGCATAGTTTGGTGTTTCATGATACAGCCTGTAACATAACTAATACAATCTTCTTCATTATATACAATATATATATTTTAAAAATTATGTTGAATATACACTGTCTAATTTACATAAATTACGCTAGGCTAAACATATTTACTTTTTTGTTTAATACTGTATATTTAAGATCAATAATGTTATATTTACATATTCTGCTAATTACTTCTGATTGTTTCCTAGATTTCAATTGTAATAATCAATTTAGAGATAATTGATATGTTACTATATTGAGTCTTCTGATATACAAAAATAGTATAACTCTTCATTTTTAGGTCCTTTTTAGTTTCTCTTGGAAATGTTTTATAGTTTTCAGTAAAGCAAATTCATACCCATGTTGTTAAATTTATGTCTAAGTAAGAGGGGTTTTCACACTATTGTAAATGGTATTTTAAAACTTCTATCTCTAGTTGTTTAAGGTTAGTTATGAAAATGTACTTAAATTTACACATTAACCATGTATAATGCAACTTTATTAAATTCATCTATTAGTTCAATTGTATACATATTATATATATTGTATATATAATTGTATACATATATGTATATATAATTATGTATATACAAACACACATACACACACCACATTATCTTTATCCATTTGTCTGTTGATGGACATTGAGGTTGATTCCATATCTTAGCTATTGTAAATAGTGCTACAATAACCATGAACTTGGAGGAATTTTTTGATCTACTGATTTCCTTTCCTTTGGATAAATAGCCAGTAATGAGTATTTGTTGCTCGATCTTATGGTAGTTCTATTTCTAGTTTTTTGAGAAATCTCCACAATGTTTTCCATGGTTGTACTAATTCACATGCTCACTGACTTTGTATCACAGTTTCCTTTTCTACACATTCTCACCATAACTGGGTTGAGATGATATCTCATTGTGGCTTTGATTTACATTTATTGGAAGATTAGTCATGTTGAGCACTTTTTTCATGTATTTGTTATCCATTTGCTTGTCTTCTTCTGAGAAATGTCTATTCAGATATTTTGCCTACTTTTTAATTGTATTATTTGGGGTTTTTTGTTGAATTGTTTGAGTTCCTTGTGTATTCTGAATGTTAGGCTCTTTGCAGATGAATTGCTGGAAAATATTTTCTCCCATTCTACAGGTTATCTCTTCATTATGTTGATTGTTTCCTTTGCTGTGCAGAAGCTTTCTCATTCCATATAGTCTCTTTGTCTATTTTTAGTTTTGTTGTCTGCTCTTGTGAAATTTTAGGCATAAAATCTTTGCCTAGACCAATGCACTGAAGAGTTTTCCTTAAGTTTCTTATAGTAGTTCTATAATTCTGTGTCTTACATTTAAGCCTCTAACACATTCTGAGTTGTTTTTTTTTTTATATGAGAGACAGGGCTCTAGTTTCATCCTTCTTCATATGGATATCCAGTTTTCCTGGCATCATTTATTGAAGAGGATATTCTTTTTCCAATGTATGTTTTTGATGACTTTGCCAAAAATCAACTGGAGGTAAATAGGCAGATTTACTTCTGGGTTACATATTCTTTTCCATTGGTGTATCAGTTTTTATAGCAATATCATGATGTTAGGTTATTGTGATGGTTAATATTAGGTGTCAACTCGACTAAATTGAGGGATGCCTAGATGTCTGATAAAGTATTGTTTCTGAGTGTGTCTGTGAGGGTGCTGCCAGAGGAGATTGATGTTTGAATCCATGGACTGGAAGAGGAAAACCCACCCTCATTGTGGGTGGGCCCCATCTAATCTGCTGCCAGCGAGACTAGAACAAAGCAGACCAATGAAGGGACAAGAGGCTTGCTGGGTCTCTCACTCCCTCTCTTCTCCTGTGCTTGACGCTTGCTTCCTTTCTTTCTTCCCTTGGACATCAGACTCCAAGTATTTTGGCCTTTGGACTCGGGAACTTGTACCAGCAGCCTTTACAGTGCTCTTACATCTTCAGTCTCAGACTTAGGTTTGCACTATTGGATTCCCTGGTTTTCAGACTTGAAGTGAGCCAACGCTACTAGCTTCTCTCTTTACCCAGCTTGCAGACAGCCTATATTGGGTTTTCACCTTGTAATTGTGTGAGCCAATTCTCCCTAATAAACTCTCTTTCATATACACATATATCCTATTGGTTCTGTCTTTTTGGAGAACCCTGAATAAAATGCAGGGTTATTAGATATTTGTAGCACAGTGTCAAGTCAGGTAGTGTAATACCTCCAGCTTTGTTCTATTTGCTTTGTGTTGCTTTGGCTATTCATTTTGTGGTTCCATACAAATTTTAGCAATGATATTTAGCATGTTATTAGTATTTTGATAGTGTTTGCATTAAATTTACAGATTGCATCACATTGTATGGTCATTTTAACAATATTTATTCTTCCAATCATTGAGTGTGTAATTTTTTTTATTTGTTTGTGTCCTTTTTGATTTCTTTTGCCAGAGTTATGAGTTTTCTTTGTAGAAGTCTTTCCCCTCCTTGGTTAAATTTATTCCTAGGCATTTTATTTTATTTATTTAGCTATTGTAAATGGGGTTACTTTTTTATTTCTTTTTCAACTAGATCATTATTGGTGCATAGAAATGATATTGATTTTTGTATGTTGATTTTTTTCATTTCTATGCATTTATGGGATACAAGTGCAATTTTGTTACCTGCATGGATTGTGTAGTGGTCAAGTCAGGGCTTTTAAGGTACCCATCACCTGAAAAACATACATCATATCCAGTAAGTAGTTTCTCTTTGTTCACCTTCTTGCCACTCCCTGACCCTTGTGAGTCTTCATTGTCTATCATTCCACTTTCTATGTCCATGGGTATTTCATGTGCGTCCGTGTGAAGAGACCACCAAACAGGCTTTGTGTGAGCAACATGGCTGTTTATTTCACCTGGGTGCAGGCGGGCTGAGTCCGAAAAGAGAGTCAGTGAAGGGAGATAAGGGTGGGGCCGTTTTATAGGATTTGGGTAGGTAAAGGAAAATTACAGTCAAAGGGGGTTTGTTCTCTGGCGGGCAGGAGTGGGGGGTCACAAGGTGTTCAGTGGGGGTGCTTTTTGAGCCAGGATGAGCCAGGAAAAGGACTTTCACAAGGTAATGTCATCACTTAAGGCAAGGACCTGCCATTTACACTTCTTTTGTGGTGGAATGTCATCAGTTAAGGTGGGGCAGGGCATATTCACTTCTTTTGTGATTCTTCAGTAACTTCAGGCCATCTGGGCTTATATGTGCAAGTCACAGGGGATGCGATGGCTTGGCTTGGGCTCAGAGGCCTGACATTCCTGCCTTCTTATATTAATAAGAAAAATAAAACAAAATATTGTTGAAGTGTTGGGGCGGCGAAAGTTTTTGGGGGGTGGTATGGAGAGAGAATGGGCGATGTTTCTCAGGGCTGCTTCAAGCGGGATTAGGGGCAGTGTGGGAACCTAGAGTGGGAGAGATTAAGCTGAAGGGAGGTCTTGTGGTAAGGGGTGATATTGTGGGTATGTTAGAAGAAAGATTTGTCATATAGAATGATTAATGATGGGCTGGATATGGTTTTGGATGAATTGAGAAACTAAATGGAATAACAGAAGGAGAAAAACAGGTATAAAACGTCTAAGAATTGGGACGACTCAGGATATCTGATTAGAGAGTGCCTAAGGAGATTCGGCATAGTCCTGCCAGCAAAGATTATTTATTTACTTCAAGAGTTAAGAGTGGCAGTTTGGGGATAGCACCAGGAGATATCAGCTGTGATGGCTTGGAAAAACAGTGTAAACCAGCAGTGTAAACAAGAGCAGGGCATGTATGAGTAGTTGAGAATGATGAATAGGAGTATGACTAGACAGAAGATAGTAGGGATGACAAGTTTTTTGGGGCATAGTCTAAGTTGGTCTGGTGTCTGGAATGAGACTGGGGCCTAATAAAAAGGAGCATCTATACAGGAGCTTAAATGGGATGTACCCTGTAGCATTCCAAAGACAGGTCTGAATTCTGAAAAGGGCAAGTGGTAAAAGTATTGTCCAGTCCTTTTTAAGTTGGTGGCTGAGCTTGGTGAGGTGTGTTTTTAAAAGACCTTTAGTCCATTCTACTTTTCTTGAAGACGGAGGACCGTAAGGGATATAAAGGTTTCACTGAATACTAAGAGCCTGAAAAGCTGCTTGGCTGATTTGACTAATAAAGGCTCATCTGTTATCAGACTGTATTGAGGTGGGAAGGCTAAAGTGAGGAATTATGTCTGACAGAAGGGAAGAAATGACTGTGGTGGCCTTCTCAGACCCTGTAGGAAAGGCCTCTACCTATCCAGTGAAAGTGTCTACCTAGACTAAGAGGTATTTTAGTTATCTGACTCAGGGCATGTTGAGTAAAGCTAATTTGCCAGTCCTGGGTGGGGCAAATCCTTGAGCTTGATGTGTAGGGAAGGGAGGGGGCCTGAATAATCCCTGAGGGGTGGTAGAATAGCAGTTGGAACACTGAGAAGTGATTTCCTTGAGGATAGATTTCCACGGTGGAAAGGAAATTAGAGGTTCTGAGAGGTGGGCTAGTGGCTTGTACCATAGCATAACCTGCCTTTGTTGGTGTGTGGCGATTAGGCCTGGTGGAACCGCCATCAATAAATCAAGCGTGATCAGGGTGAGGAACAGGAAAGAAGGAAATTTGGGGAAATGGGGTGAATGTCAGTTAGATCAGAGAGATACAGTCATGGGGGTCAGGTGTGGTATCAGGAATAATGTGGGAGGCCGGACTGAAGTCCGGGCCAGGAACAATGGTAATTGTGGGAGACTCAACAAAGAGTGAGTATAGCTGAAGGAGCTGGGAAGCAGAAAGTATATGCATCAGGTGTGAGGAAGAAAATAGATTTTGGAAGTTATGAGAACTGTAGAGAGTGAGTTGAGCATAGTTTGTGATCTTGAAGGCCTCTAAAAGTATTAATGCAGCGGCAGCCGCTACACGCAGACATGAGGGCTAGGCTAAAACAGTAAGGTCAAGTTGTTTGGACAGAAAGGCTACAGGGTGTGGTCCTGGCTCTTGTGTAAGAATTCTGAGCATGCTAACCATGCCTAGGAAGCAAAGGAGTTGTTTTTTTATAGAAGGTGCTGGGGTTGAGAGACCAGTCGGACACGATTGGCAGGGAGAGCACGTGTATTTTTATGAGAATTATGCTGAGATAGGTAACAGATGAGGAAGAAATTTGGGCTTGATTGAAGTAATGGGGGCTGTCTGTGAAGCTTTGCGGCAGTACAGCCTAGGTAATTTGCTGAGCTTGATGGGCGTCAGGGTCAGTGCAAGTGAAAGTGAAGAGAGGCTGGGATTAAGGGTGCAAAAGAATAGTAAAGAAAGCATGTTTGAGATCTAGAACAGAATAATGGGTTATAGAAGAAGGTATTGAGGATAGGAGAGTATATGGGTTTGGCACCATGGGGTGGATAGGCAAAACAATTTGGTTGATAAGGCGCAGATCCTGAACTAACTTGTAAGGCTTGTCTGGTTTTAGGACAGGTAAAATGGGGGAATTGTAAGGAAAGTTTATAGGCTTTAAAGGCCATGCTGTAGCAGGTGAGTGATAACAGGCTTTAATCTTTTTAAAGCGTGCTGCAGGATGGGATATTGGGTTTGAGTGTGGTAAGGGTGATTAGGTTTTAACGAGATGGTAAGGGGTGCATGATCGGTCACCAAGGAGGGAGTAGAGGTATCTTATACTTGTGGGTTAAGGTGGGGGGGATACAAGAGGAGGATGCAAAGGAGGCTTTGGATTGGGAAGAAGGGAGGCAATGAGATACAGCTGTAGTCCAGGAATAGTCAGGGAAGCAGATAATTTAGTTAAAGTGTCTCAGCCTAATAAGGGAACTGGGCAGGTGGGGATAACTAAAAAGGAGTGCTTAAAAGAGTATTGTCTAAGTTGGCACCAGAGTTGGGGAGTTGTAAGAGGTTTAGAAGCCTGGCCGTCAATACCCACAACAGTTATGGAGGCAAGGGAAACAGGCCCTTGAAAAGAAGGTAATGTACAGTGGGTAGCCTCTGTATTGATTAAGAAGGGGATGGGCTTACCTTCCACTGTGAGAGTTACCAGAAGCTTGGCGTCCCTGATGGTCTAGGGGTCTTCCGAGGTGATCGGGCAGTGTCAGTCTTCAGCCGCTAAGCTGAGAAGATCTGGGAAGGAGTCAGTCAGAGAGCCTTGGGCCAGAGTTCCAGGGGCTCTGGGAGTGGCTGCCAGGTGAGTTGAACAGTCCGATTTTCAGTGGGGTCCCACAGAGATGGGAAGCGGCTTAGGAGGAATCCTGGGCTGCAGGCATTCCTTGGCCCAGTGGCCAGATTTCTGGCACTTGTAGCAAGCTCCTGGGGGAGGAGGTTCTGAAGGAATGCCTGGCCACTGCGGTTCAGGTGTTTGGAAGTTCTTGTGTGCTGGAGATGTAGCTGGGGTTTGTCTCATAGTGGAGGCAAGGAATTGTAACCTTTTTCTATTAGTGTACACCTTGAAGGCGAGGTTAATTAAATCCTGTTGTGGGGTTTGAGGGCTGGAATTTAATTTTTGGAGTTTTATTTAATGTTGGGTGCAGATTGGGTAATAAAATATATATTGAGAATAAGACGGCCTTTTGACTTTTTAGGGTCTAGGGCTGTAAAGCGTCTCAGGGTTGCTGCCAAACAAGTCATGAACTGGGCTGGATTTTTATATTTGATGAAAAAGAGCCTAAACCCTGTCTGATTTGGGATAAAGAAAAAGGAGCATTAACCTTGACTATGCCTTTGGCTCCAGCCACCTTTTTAAGAGTAAATTGCTGGGCAGGTGGGGGAGGGCTAGTCACGGAACGAAACTGTAAGCCGGACCAGGTGTGAGGAGGGGAGGTGATAAAAAGATTATAGGGTGGAGGAGCGGAGGCTGAGGAAGAATTAGGACCTAACTCGGCCTGTTGAGGAACAGCCTGGGGAGGAAGGGAGAGGTCAGATGGGTCTGTAGAAAAGGAAGATTAGAAAGACTCAGTGAGGCTCGGAGTTGGTACTGGGGGGACAGGCGGGAGGGAAAGAAGGAAGATTTGGGACGAGTTGCACTGGGCACAGAGACTAGGAAGGGGCTGATGTGTAAAAGAATGCCTGGACATAAGGCACCTCAGACCATTTGCCTATTTTACGACAAGAATTATTTAGATTTTGCAGGATGGAAAAATTCAAAGTGCCATTTTCTGGCTATTTGGAACTACTGTTGAGTTTGTATTGGGGTCAGGCAGCATTGCAGAAGAAAATAAGGCATTTAGGTTTTAGGTCAGGTGTGAGTTGAAGAGGTTTTAAGTTTTTGAGAACACAAGCCAAGGGAGTAGAAGGAGGAATGGAGGGTGGAAGCTTGCCCATAGTGAAGGAAGCAAGCCTAGAGAAAAGAGAGAGTAGAGAAACGGAGGGAAGGGGTTCGGGGGTTCTTACCTTCCAGAAAAGTGGGAAAAGGGGTTGGGGCACAGAGATAAGAGGTTGGGGTGCAGAAATAAGGGATTGGGGTGCAGAAATATGAGGTTGGGGTGCAGAAATAAGGGACTGGGGCACAGAGATATGAGGTTGGGGCATGGAAATAAGGGATTGGGATACAGAGATAAGAGGTCAGGGTGCGGAAATAAGGGATTGGGGCACAGAGATAAGAGGTTGGGGTGCAGAAATAAGGGATTGGGACACAGAGATAAGAGGTTGGGGCGTGGAAATAAGGGATTGGGGGTTCTTGCCCTGTAGAAAAGCAGGACTTGCTGCTAACAGTGAAGGAGAAGGGGTTGAGGGGTACTTGTTCCTGCCCCAGAAAAGTGGGACTTGCCGCTAAGGGTGAAGGAGAAGGGGTTGAGGTGTACTTGCCCCTCTCCCAGAAAAGCAGAGGAGGGGTAGAGACAAGGAGAGAAGCGGTTGGGGTACTTGCCACTTCCCCAGAAAAGCAGGACTTGCCGCTAAGGGTGAAGGACCAAGGCAGGCCTCCCTGCATGGTCTGACATCCTTGAAAGGTGGGTGTATAATCAGAGAGGTGTCCCTGCAATGATTAAACACCAAGGGAAGGCTGCCTTTCCAGTCCGTGACTGGCACCGGAGTTTTGTGTCCACGGATAAAACATGTCTTCTTTGTCTCTCCCAGAAAATGAAAGGAATTGAAATTAAGAGAAGGGAGAGATTGAAGAGTGGAAAGGAGAAAGTGGTTGACGGACAGTGAGAGAGGTTGGAGAAGAGAGTAAGAAGAGGCCGCTTACCTGATTTAAAATTGGTGAGATGTTCCTTGGGCTAGCTGGTCTGAGGACCTGAGGTCATAGGTGGATCTTTCTCATGGAGCACAGAACAGGAGGACAGGGGATTGATCTCCCAAGGGAGGTCCCCTGATCCGAGTCATGGCACCAAATTTCCTGCGCGTCCGTGTGAAGAGACCGCCAAACAGGCTTTGTGTGAGCAACATGGCTGTTTATTTCACCTGGGTGCAGGCGGGCTGAGTCCGAAAAGAGAGTCAGCAAAGGGAAATAAGGGTGGGGCCGTTTTATAGGATTTGGGTAGGTAAAGGAAAATTACAGTCAAAGGGGGTTTGTTCTCTGGTGGGCAGGAGTGGGGGTTGCAAGGTGCTCAGTGGGGGTGCTTTTTGAGCCAGGATGAGCCAGGAAAAGGACTTTCACAAGGTAATGTCATCACTTAAGGCAAGGACCGGCCATTTACACTTCTTTTGTGGTGGAATGTCATCAGTTAAGGTGGGGCAGGACATATTCACTTCTTTTGTGATTCTTCAGTTACTTCAGGCCATCTGGGCTTATATGTGCAAGTCACAGGGCATGCGATGGCTTGGCTTGGGCTCAGAGGCCTGACAGTGTACACACTTTTTAGCACTGACTTCTGAGTGAGAACATGTGATATTCCATTTTCTATGTCTGGCTTGTTTCACTTAAGATGATGCCCTCCAGTTTTATCCATGTTGCTGCAAAAGATGTGATTTTATCCTCTTTATGAATGGAATACTAAACAGTATTCCATTGTGCATATATCCCACATTTGCTTTATCTAATCACCTGTTGATGGACACGTAGTTTGAGTCTATATTTTTATCATGAATAATGCTGCAATAAACATACTAGTCTTGGTATCTTTTTGACAAAGATTCCTTTTCTTTTGAGTAGGTATCTACTGGTGAATTTGCTAGATTGAATGGTTGTTCTACTTTTAGTTCTTTGGGAAATCTTCATACTTATTTCCATAGAGGTTGGACTAATTTACATTCCCAAAAACAATGCATAAGAGCTCCCTTTTCTCCACATACTAATCAACATCTGTTATTTTTTGTCCTTTAGTAATAGCCATTGTAACTGAGGTAAGATGATATCTCATTGTGGTTTTAATTTGCATTTCTTGGATGATTTATGATGTTGATCATTTTTCATATACCTGTTGGTCATTTGTATGTCTTATTTTGAAAAATGTCTACTAGTGTATTTTGCTCACTTTTTAATTGGATTATTTTTGTTGTTGAGTTGTTTTATTTCCTTGTATATTCTGGATATTAGTCCACTGTTAGATAAATAGTTTGCAAATATTATCTCCCATTCTGCAGGTTGTCTGTTCACACTGTTAATTATTTCTTTTGCTATGCAGTAGTATTTTTGTGTATTTTTTATTTTTATTGTCTGTACTTTTGAGGTTTTAGTCGTAAATTCTTTGCCCAGGCCAAAGTCCAGAAGAGTTTAACCTAGGTTTTCTTCTAGTGCTTTCAGTTTGGGGTCTTACCTTTATGTCTCTAATCTATCTTGGGTTGATTTTTGTGAATGGTGAATGATAGGAGTTCAGTTTCATTCTTCTGCATATGGCAATCCAGTTATCCTAGCATCATTTATTGGAAAGGTTGTTCCTTCCTCAATGTATGTTCTTGTTGGTTTATCAAAGATCAAATGGTTGTACATATGTGGCTTTATTTCTGGTTTCTTCATTTGGTTCTATTGATCTATATGTCTATTTTTATACTAGTACCATGCTAGTACCAAGTCAGAACAAAGCTGGAGGCATCATATGTTCTGACTTCAAATTATACTACAAGGGTACTACAATTATACTACAAGGCTACATAGAATAATTTGAAGTCAGAACATGTGATGCCTCCAGTTTTGTTCTTTTATACTTAGGATTGCTTTGGCTATTTGGGCTCTATTTTCATTCCACACCAATCTTAGGAATTTTTTTTTTTAATTCTGTGAAAAGTGACATTTTTATTTTGATAGGGATCATACTGACTCTGTAAATTGCTTTGGGAGGTATGGTCATTTTTATGACATTAATTCTTCGGATTCATGTACATGGGATGTTTTTCCATATGTTTGCATCATCTACAATTTCTTTTATCAGTGTTTTGTAGCTTTTCTAGTAGAGATCTTTCACCTCCATGGTTAAGTTTATTCCTAGGTATTTTTTTTTCTAGTTATTGTAAATGGAATTGCCTTTTCAATTTCATTCTCAGGTGGATTGCTTTTAGTATAAAGATATGCTCCTGAGTTTTGTATATTCAATTTGCCTCCTGTAACTTTACTAAATTTATTTATCAAATCCAAGAACTTTTTTGGTAGTGTCTTCAGGTTTTTCTAGATAGAAGATCAGCAAACATGGATAATTTGACTTCCTCTTTTACAATTTGAATGCCTTTTCTTTCTTTCTCTTGCCTGGTTGCTCCAGCTAGGACTTCTTTAACTCTCAGTTTTCCATAGAGATATCTGCTGTTAGTCTGTTGGGTATTCTGTTACATGTTACTTGACATTTATTTTTTGCTGTTTTTAAAATTCTTTGTCTTTGATTTTTGACAGTTTCACTGTAATATGCCTCAAAGAAGACCTATTTGAATTGCATCTATTTGGGAATCTTTAAATTTCCTGTAACTTATTACCTACATCTCTTATAAGACTGAGAAATTTTAGCTATTATTTCACTAAATAGTTTTTCTATGCCTTTGGAAAAATCCCTGCTCCTTCTGAATCTCTCAGAATTCAAATATTTATTCACTTGATCCTGTCCCATATGAACATAGAGTTTTTCTTTTTCTTTTTTTTCTTGTGTAATTGGGTTATCTTAAAAGACCTGTCTTCAAGTACAGAATTTTTTTCTTCTGCTTGATCTAGTCTATTATTGAAGCTCTTAATTATCTTTTTTGTTTCATTCATTGAATTCTTCAGTCCCAAGATTTCTGTTTGATTTGATTTCTGTTTTATAATATATATCTTTTTGTTCAGGTATTGCATAGATTTCCTTTACTTTGGAATGTGTTACTGGAGAATTATTGTATTATTCGAAGGTGTCAGGTTTCCTTGCTCCTTCATGATTCTTATGTCCTTAATTGATATAATTGATATCAACACATTTGGTGTAATGGTTGTTTCTTCTAATTTTATGTACTGACTTTCACAGGGACATACTTTTTTCTGTAGATGTATCTACAGTGCCAGTTGGGTGGGGGTCTTTTGGCTTTGATTCTGGATGTGTGCAGTAATGTGATTTCTGTCATTTCTTTGGCTGTAATAAACTTTAGTGGTATCTGTTGAGGATGGGGATGTCAGGTGGCCAGTCCTTAGGTCCCCAGGTGGCACTCTTGGGTTGGTGTCAGTGGCAGCAGCAGCAGGCTGAGTGGTCTAGTTCCCAGGCCTCCCAAAGTTGTGTGCAGACACTGGAGGTGGCAGCAAGAGTGGTGGGTCTATCCTTAGGTTCCTGAAGGTGCTACTGTTGGCCAATAGGGCCTGCTGAACCTTAGTGCCCAGGATCTTATGCCCACAGTATGTGGCCTATGTGCAGCATAGGCTGCATTGATGACACTTCTGTTCTCAGGTACTCAGGCAGTGTGCATGAGTATTGTTTGTGGTGGTGGGTAGGATGGGCCAGTCTTCAGGCCCCCAAAAGGCACATGCAGGTGCATGGTGGCCCTACCACTGGAGGAGACAGCGTTGTTGTCAGTGAGAGCATTTCCAGAGAGTTGGCTTCCATGCTCTTGGAAACATGTGTCACCTCCCTTTGTCCTACAGGCAGCATTCCTGTTGCACTGAACCTCATGTTGCTCTGATTGTAGGACACTACATGGGCTAGATTGCTGGGTTCTTAGCTGTACCTCCACTAGGTCCAGCCAATATTGTGATGCTGCAACACTCTGGGTGGTTGTCAGTGCAGCTTCCAGAATGTGGAGTTGCAGGGGTTATTAGGATGTAATCTGGTGGGACCTGGGCTCTCAAAATGGCACCATGTTGCAGCAGTTTGGATCTCAGTCGCAGTGTGGGATGTAGAGTGAATTCTCTCTCAGGAACAATGCAGTCACATTTACTCTAAGCTACTTCTTATACTAGGATTAGGGCCTATGGTAGCCAAGGTGCTCTCCTGTGGCTAAATTGCAGGCATTTGTGATACAAGTGTGGACTGCTGGGGAGCTCTTGCTTCCCTTTTCGCCAAAACAAGGAGACTCTCCTGGCTATAAACTCATCTCAGCTGGTCCAGCTGCTTAAGTCTCCTATTTTTCTGTGCCTGTGATGGTCCCTGTCTCTCCTTGATGAATTCCAGCATTGTTTCTAATGCTCTAATTGATATATGCTTATCTACTCAGCATTTTGGTCCTTCTTTGTGCACACACTGATTTTTTTAACACTTTTATTGAAATATTATTTTCAAAAATGATATTTACCATTTTAAGGTGTATGATTTGGTGGTTCATATAAATGAAATCCTGTAATATGTGGGTTTTTCTTCTGACCTCTTTTACTAAGCATAACTTTTACAAGGTTTATTCATGATGTAGCAAGTATTAGTACTTCATTCTCTTTTTGTGGGTAGATAACATTTCATAGTCTGGCTATGCCACATCTGTATATCAAGGGGTCAGCTGATGAACATTTAAGTCCCACTTTGACTATTATGACTAATGCTGCTATGAATTTTCATGTACAAGTTTTTGTCTGGACATATATTTTCATTTATCTTCTTTGGGTATGTAATTAGAAGTGGAATTGTTGGGTCATATGGAAATTCAATGTTTAGCTTTTTGACCAACTGCCAAACTGTTTTGTAAAGTGCCTGTACTATTTTACAATCTGACCAGCAATGAATAAGTGTTCTAATTTTCCCACATCCTTGTCAATACATGTTATTTTATATCTTTTTATTTTAGCCATTCTAGTGAGTGTGAAGTGGTATCTCATTGTAGTTTTGGTTTGTGGACCCCTAATATCTGATTATACTGAGCATTTTATCAATGCTTATTGGCTACTTTTATATCTCTTTTGGAGAAATATCTATTCTAATCCTTTGCCAATTAAAAAAATCAGGTTGTCTGCCTTTTTACATTTGAGTTGTAAGTGTCCTTTATATATTCTGAATGTTAGTCCCATTTTTGACCAACTGCCAAACTGTTTTGTAAAGTGCCTGTACCATTTTACAGATATATGATTTAGAGATACATGATTTAAGATATGATGATAAGATATATGATTTAGAAGTATTTTCACCCATTCCATCATTTGTCTTTTTACTTTATTGATGATGTTCTTTGTAGCAAAAAATATTTTTATATTATGAAATCAAATTTATCTATTTTTTTCTTGATATGCTTTCTTGTCTTGTCTAAGAAAACATTGCCTAACCTAAGGTCATGATAATTTACACCTACATTTTTTTTCTAAGAGTTATATGGTTTTACATTTTACTTTTATAACTATAGTCCATTTTTAGTTAATCTTTGTGAATGGTGTGAGTTAGAGGTTTAACTTTATACTTTTGCACATGGACATCCAGTTGTTCCAGCACTACTTTTGAAAAGAATATTTCTTCCTCATTGAATTTTCCTGATGATTTATCGAGTATAATTTTAGCATAAAAGTCATGATTTGTTTCTAGAATGTCAGTTATAGTCCATTGATCTTCATGTCTGTCCTGTGGCAGTACTATAGTGTGTCTTTTCTACTGAAGATTTGTAGTAGGTTTTGAAATTGGGAAGTCCAATTCAATTGTGAGTCCCTCAAATTTGCTCTTCTTTGTCAGGATTATTTTGGCTATTCAGGGTCCCTTGAATTTTTATATAACTAATAAAATCAGCTTTTCAATTTTTGTAAGAAAGAAGTCTTAGAGTTTCATAATGATTAACTCGAAACTGTCTATGAATTTGAGGATCACTGTTATTTTAATATTAAGTATTTTATATGAATATGGGTTGCTATTCCTCTCATTCCATTAATTTTGTTTTTAAATTTATTTCTACATGATTTTATAGTTTTCAAAAATATTCAACAACATTTCAATAAATTTTATAGTTTTCATTATATAAAACTTCTAAATTTATTCTTAAGCATTAAATATTTTGAAAGTATTGTAAATTTAATTGTTAATTTTATTTTTGGATTTTTATTGCTAAAGTGCATAAATAAGTTGATTTTTGCATATTGACCTAGTGTCCTACAACTTGCTGAACTTATTTATTAGTTCTAGTAGTCTCTTTTTTCCAGATTTTTAGGATTATCTATATGAAAGATCATGTCAATGTGACTAAAGGTGATTTTACTTCTTTCTTTCTGATGGTCTGCAGTACAATGTTGGATAAAAGTAATGAGAATAGATAACTTTGTCCTGTTCTTGATCTTGGAAGGAAAACATCCAATCTTTTACCATTAAATAAATTGTTACCTGTAGGTTCTTTGTTGAAGCCCCTTATCAGGTTGGAGTAGTTCCTTTTTGTTCTTACTATTATGTATGTCCATCATAAAAGGGAAGCCATTATCCTTAGCAAACTAACACAGGAACAGAAAACCAAATACTGCATGTATTAAGCCTATTAACCTAATGGATACCTAATGGGTACTAAGCTTAATACCTGGGTGATAAAATAATCTGTACACTAAACCCCCATGGCACACGTTTACCTATGAAGCAAACCTACACTTGTAACCTTGAACTTAAAATAAAAGTTAAAAAAAGAAAATATATCAAATGTATTTTCTGCATCTTTTAAGGCCATGATATAGTTTTTCTTTTTTATTCTATTAATATGGCTAATTACATTAAGTGAATTTTTTACCATCCTTGCATTCCTGACAGTTTTCCTTCATATATTTTGAAGTCAAGCACATAGATATTTAGGGTTACTCTGTCTTCCTTCTGTCCTTCTTGATTTCTATAAATGTTCTTTGTTCTGAAATTTATTTGGCTATATCAATATACAGGAAGATTTATTATGATGAGTGTTTGAATAGACTATTTTTTCCATGCTTTTCCTTTTAACTATATTTTTATATTCATTATAAGTTGAGGTAAACATTTTTTAGTTTTCCAAAGAGGTGACAGAATTTATCTGGCTGTTCAGAGGAAGAAATGGCATTCTAGTTTGTAAAACTTTGTCTCTATGGTTTATAATTTTCATTGTTCTTGTAAATTTATGGCCTTAAAAACATCTTTACTATTATTTTAGCAAGATTTCAAGGAAGACTAGAAGTTAATACATGTGTAGAACTCAGAATCTTGCCAGCAATCCTCGTAGTTTTGGAAATCACTTAACCTTTAATGCCTTAAATTCCTCAGCTATGAAATGGTTAATAATAGTAGCTACTTCCCAAGACTGTTAGGATGAAATGGTAAATATATGCCCAGTACTCAGTGTCAGGCATGTAGTGTTATACAAATATTTCCATTAGCATCATTATAACAAAATTGCTTTTTTAAAAAGATACGTTTGTCTTCTTGAGCTAAGAAACCTCTTTCTGACATGTAAATATACTTAAATTTCAGACTTAAACACAGGTTTAGTATCTATATGTTAATATAGGCATTTTTCTGTAAATCTATGTTTTCATATTTGTTTCTGTGGTAGGCTTTGAAGTATTTAAGGATGGGACATTGGTTGTTGTTTCTGTAGTATCTGGTATAGTTCCTACCTTAGAGTAAGCTTTTAGAAAATAATTTTAAGGTGTATAATTACATACTTCTCAGTTGCTAGGGGGAACCATCTCCATGTCTACTTTGTCATTCTGGATAGGCTAAGTTTCCCCCAACAACAATGGCAAGTCACGTCTCATCCACTTAACAAGTCTACGTTAGGCCTGGCTGTGGCTGTCCTCCTGTGTCATTCTCTCTGTGGTGAACTAGGTGAACGAAGCAACCGCGATCTGGAACATTGCTGGAAATTGAGGGAAAAGAGATCATCACTCCAAATCACCTACTATCATTAAAGTTTCTTACTTGGAACTGAAACTTATCACTTCCACCAACACTTTATTTTCAAGGTTAAGTCACAAGGTCATTTCTGATATCAATGAGAAGGCATGTATAACTCTCCTGCAGGGAGAGGCAGAAAAAATATTCGAACAGATATACAGTCAGCCATTTCCACCAAACCCTGCTTTCTTACCATTGCTGGAAACTATGTATACTTTGTATTACTCCTAGGTATAACTAATCGCATTATACACAATGCTTTCTAAAGTGGTATATAATTTTGTCTTAAATATATTGTTTGAAATTTCAAATAGCAGTGGTAATACTAGTTCTACTATCTTTCAGTTTGATAGCACACCTAAATTCCTACAGACAAAATACTGCTTTATCAGTTTGCTCTTGTTTAGAGGCCCATTCATTTGTTTATCATTTTAGTTGCCTTCTTTAGACCTTTTCCTAGTTCTTATAATTTGTCAGAGTTACAGCATGAGAATTGCATAAACATTGCAAATGCAAAGAAGGACATGTTATTTGCTCCAAGATAGCAGAGATTTCTCCTAGCATATCTGATAACCTCTATGATTATGTTTATTAATTTTTTTCCTGTGGTAAGACAACTTAATATGAGATGTTCCCTTTTAAGTAATTTTTAAGGGTATAATATGATATTGTTGACAACAGGTACAATGTTGCGTAGCAGATCTCTAGAGCTTGTTCATCTTGCTTAACTGAATCTTTACGCCCATTAATTAATAACTCCCTTTTACTATAGCTCTGTTAATCACATAATTTTTCCATGTGGAAAATAAATCAGAGATTCTTAGAGCCTTACCTGGATTCCTATAAGATAGCATTGAACAAAATATCCTATAATATTTGTTCTTAGAAGGAAAATAAAAAGCTCTCAAGTGAAGTGTCATGCATTTTTCTATTGTGAGGTTCATTTATGTTATGTTATTTATTTATTTTTGTGATTAATGCTTTCTATGATTGAGTGAGGCAGTACATTTTTGTCCCTCTAAGCTGCTTTTATTGGATGGCTGTTGTACAGAAATAATAATTACTATTGGAACTGCATCTGCAGTTCTTCATCTAAAGAGAATTTAGGCAGAAGGCTTTCCTCTTCATTTTTTTTCTTAGTTTTTTATTATATTTTATTTTGTATCCTAACCCTCAGAGCCTGTAATGCTCTTCATTTTTAAAAAAAAAACAACTTTTTTTCTTCTAGATAGCCTTATATTATTTCGGTTTACCTTCTGTATTGTAATCATGTTTCCATTGATTCCTTAAGTGGTTAAGGTAGTTTTATTCAGCATGTGACATTTTATAATATATTTTTCTCACATTAGCTGTAGACCTTAGGCAAACTACTTAATCTCTTTGTGCCTCAGTTTCTTCTTTTGAAAAATGAGGATAGATAATACTTACCTCAGCATAAGTACAATGTTGAGTACATGGTAAATGCTCAATAAGTGTTAGCCATTATTTGTATTACCATTGAAACTTTAATTATTATTCCATAAGACATTTTTCTTTGTTCCTTCATGTATTAGTCCATTTTCATACTGCTATGAAGAAATACCCAAGACTGGGTAATTTATAAAGGAAAGAGGATTAATGGACTCACAGTTCCACATGGCTAGGGAGGCCTCACAATCATGGCAGAAGGCAAAGGAGGAGCAAAGGCACATCTTACATGGTGGCAGGCAAGAGAATGTGTGCAGGGGAGATGCCCTTTATAAAACCACTAGCTCTCATGAGACTTATTTACTATCATGAGAACACCATGGGAAAGAAACCTGTTCCTATGATTCAATTACCTCCCACTGGGCACTTCCCATGACATGTGGGGATTATGGGAGCTACAATTCAAGATGAGATTAGAATGAGGATACAGCCAAACCATATCATTCTGCTCCCAGCCCCTCTCAAGTCTCATACTCTCACATTTCAAAACCAATCATGCCTTCCCAACAGTCCCCCAAAGTCTTAACTCACTCTGGCAATAACTCAAAAGTCCAAGTCCAAGTTCTCATCTGAGAAAAGGCAAGTCCATAATCCAGTAGGGCAGTCTTTAGCCTTAAATTTCTAAAATTATCTCCTTGGACACTATGTCTCATGTACAAGTCATGCTGATGCAAGAGGTGAAAAATGAGGATAGATAATAATTATCTGAATATAAGTACCATATTGAGCATGGTTCCCACAGTCTAGAGCAGCTTCACCCCTATGGCTTTGCAGGGTACAGACCTTCTTCCAGCTGCTTTCACAGGCTGTTGTTGAGTGTCTGTAGCTTTTCCAGATGCACAGTGCAAGCTGTCAGTTGATCTACCATTCTGTGGTCTGAGGGACAGTGGCCCTCTTCTCACAGCTGAACTAGGCAGTGATCCAGTAGGGACTCTGTGTGGTGGCTTCAACCCCACATTTCTATTCTGCACTGCCCTAGCAGAGGTTCTCCATGATGGTTCCACCCCTGCAGCACACCTCTGCTTGGACATACAGGCATTTCTATACATCCTCTGAAATCTAGGTGAATGTTCTGAAAACTCAACTCTTGACTTCTGTACACCTACAGGCTCAACACAATGTGGAGCTGCCAAAGCTTGGGGCTTACACCCTCTGAAGCCATGGCCAGGGCTGTTTCTTGGCCCCTTTTAGCCACAGCTGGAGTGACTGGGATGCAGGGCACATGGCAAGGGCAGCCCTGGACCTGGCCCAGGAAACCATTTTTCCCTCCTAGGCCTTTGGGTCTGTGATGAGACGGGCTGCCGTGAAGGTCTCTGACATGCCCTGGAGACATTTTCCCCATTGTCTTGGTGATTAGCATTTGATTCCTCGTTACTTATACAAATTTCTGCTGTGGGATTGAATTTCTCCCCAGAAAATAGGTTTTTCTTTTCTACTACATTGTCAGGCTACAGCTTTTTCAAACTTTTATGCTTTGCTTTCTCTTGAACACTTTGCTGCTTAGAAATTTATTCTACCAGATATCCTAAATCATCTCTCTGAAGTTCAAATTTCCACAGATCTCTAGGGCAGGGACAAAATGCCGGCAGTCTCTTTGCATAGCAAGAGTGACCTTTACTCCAGTTCTGAACAAGTTCCTCATCTCCATCTGAAACCACCTCAGCCTGGACTTTATCATCCATATCACTATCAGCATTTTGGTCCAAGCATTCAACAAGTCTTTAGGAAGTTTCAAACTTTCCCAAATTTTCCTATCTTCTTCTGAGCCCTCCAAACTGCCCTAACCTATGCCTGTCACCCAGTTCCAAAGTTGCTTCCACATTTTGGGGTATCTTTACAGCAGCACCCCCACTTTACTGGTACCAATTTGCTGTGTTAGTCCATTTTCATATTGCTATGAAGAAATATCTGAGACTTGGTAATCTGGAAAGGAAAGAGGCTTAATTGACTCCCAGTTCCACATGGCTGGAGAGGCCTCACAATCATGGTGTGAAGCAAAGGAGAAGCAAAGGCACATCTGGCATGGTGTCAGGCAAGACAGCATGTGTAGGGGAACTCCCCTTAATAAAACTATCAGACCTCATAAGACTTATTCAGTATTGTGAGAATAGTAGGGGAAAAACCCACCTCCATGATTCAACTACCTCCGACTGGGTCTCTCCTAAGACATGTGGGGATTATGAGAGCTATGGTTCAAGATGAGCTTAGGATGGGGACACAGCCAAACCATATCACTTCATTTCTGTAGTATATAAACTGTTGTCCTTGTGAGAATCTCAATTTTCATTTAAAGTATGTTTTTTATGCCATTATTATTTTTACTTTTATATCTATATGTTTATATGGATATTTTGTTTTTGGTTTAGACAGATACAGAAAAAAATCATCTCTATATATCAGATCTCATTTAAAATAAAAATCTCTCAATTTGCCAGATTAACTAACTACATTCACCATTCTCCCAGTAAACCATACTGGCTCATGCCATCTGTATGCTTGTAGTTATCAATTACTCTCCTATCTGACAGATCACTTATACTTTAACCAGTTCATTGTATCTTAACAAGGCACTTGTGATTATGCAAATATTAGTTTTTTCTTTTTATACAGAAATCACTCAGTTTACTTAAATGTTATATCAACCAATAAAATAAGTGCAAATAATAAATTTATTTCCTCAAAACCTAAGTTGAATGCTTTGAAAAGACTTGGTAACAGCTAGTTGCTAAAAAAAATGAAGATAAATTAAATATGGACGAGGCAATATAAAGGGTTAGAAAGAACATCATAAAATTATAAGAGGATTCTAAACTCAGATTACTTTGGAAATTTCTGGACATCTTTTTCCCTCTTAAAAAACAGTGAAAATTATAGTTGATGTTTTATAAGTATGAAAACAAAAGCAAAAAGCAAGACAAAATAATAGCTGTACTCAATGAACCTGTTTAGAAAAAATATCTTGTGTCTACATGAAGATTGTCAGATGAATAAATATATATATATGTTAGGTTGACATAAAATGTTTAAGTTTGTGTACATATATTTTATACTTCTATGGTTTTAATCAACCTTTTAAATTAGGGAATGAAATACATATAAGAGAAATAATGGGCATTTAATACCTTTACATTGTACTTGATCTTAGAGAAGACATGCATTTTGTTACTTTTGTATTTTATTTTCTGAATGATAATAGTCATCAAAATGATGAAAGTCAAAAAATGGAATAATGAAAGAATGACTTGATCAATCATCAGATTGCATATATCCAAGGCACATTTTTACTAAATTTTCAAGGCATATATTGTTCTCTTTTTAAAAAGATTGGATTAGTGAGTAGAACAAAGAAAATAAAAGCTAGATTAAATTTCTTGTCTTTCTTTTGAAATTATAAACATTTATCAAGGTAGAAATATTGTATGAGAATTAGAAACTCTGTATTGATATTAAAAACTTGTTTGTGCTTGTAAAATTTATTCACTCACATATGAAAGACACTCCTCAGAATACCAAATTAACCACATTCAAAACCCTAAAGATATAAAGGCAAAAAAAAAAAAAAAACCATATTGGAGAGGCTCTTTAAGGGGTGGAAAATAGAGTAAGATAGGAGCATGGCTCATATGGTAACATACAACTCTCTAGAATATATTTTAACACTCAGAAGTTTTTAAATACAATTTTTGCTTTTCAGTAAATAATGCATTGTATTTAGTTTTTATGTCTCTTTAAGTCAGGAAAGCTTCCCAAGCTTTCCTGATCTTAAAGTTTTGATCAGGTGTTTTTTAGAATACTTCAAACTAGTCTGATATTTTTCTCATGATTAGAATGTGGTTATCAGATTTTGTGAGGAAGACCACAGAGATAAAGTGTCATTCTCATCACATCACAAAAGGGTATATACTATCATCATGATTTATCACTGTTGATGTTAACCTATATCACCTGTAGGTAGTGTTTCTTAGATTTCTCCATTGTAAAGTTATATCACTCCCCTTCTTTACAAACTGTACTTTTTGGAAGAAAGCTACTATGTACAGCCCAGCTTGAAATGTGCAGTCTTCCTTCACTTCCTTCAGGGTGAAGTATCTGCACAGATTTGTCTCTTCTTCCATTATGATTTATATATTTAAACACTTATTTTAGACATTGTGTTATAATCCAATACTACTTTATTAACTTTGTTCAAATTGTTTCAGTTTTAGACATTGGTTTTTTTTTTCCGTTGGCTCATATATCTTTTTACATACCCCTGTCCCTCCCTCCTCCCTCCCTCCCCTCCTCCCTTCCTCCTTTCCTCCTTTTTCTTATCTCTTTCTTTCTTTCTCTTTCTTTCTTTCTTTCTTTCTTTCTTTATTTCTTTTTTCTTTCTTTCTTTCTTTTTCTTTCTTTCTTTCTTTCTTTCCTTTCTTTCTTTCTTTCCTTTTCCTTTTCTTTCTTTCTTTTTTCTTTCTTTCTCTTCTTTCTTTCTTCTTTTCTTCTTTCTTTCTGTCTTTCTCTCTCTCTTTCTTCTTCTCTTTTTCTTCTTTTTTGAGCATTTGATTGCTTTCTGGCACTACAAGATGCTATAGACTCATCCTGTATATTTCTTCACCCACTTCCAAAATCAGCCATTTCTTTAAAGAAATGGTTCCTTTTATTTGTAAATGGTTTTAGAAACTAAGGTCTTGGCTCTAGATGTGCTCAATGTTCCTGTGATGCTGCTGCTTCTAGACTCTCTCAGCTGACAGAGGAAGGAAATATATATGCATACAGTAACTTGTGTACATATACATATCTATACATATTTACAAATTTATCCAAATGTATCTATATTCAGTCAACATAAATTCATAAAAATGTCTTTAACTCTAGCCCATTACCACAAGAATCATTTTACTCCTCTCCTCTTGGTTTCCTGTAACCACCCCTCACCCTCAGTGAGAAGCCACCATCCATTTCATCCATTTGCTTAACTTGCAGTAACATGTCTAGTGGAAATAACTCATCAGTTAGAGTATAGTGTACCTGTAGTTTCTTTTGTCTTTAGTCCTCTAGTCTCTGTTCATCTCCAAGGTCAGTACCTTTTTCTCACATCCATTTCAGTGTTTCATAAATTTCTATTGCAGTTAGATTCTCTTTTACAGTCTGCATTCCATTCTGGTATTCCCTAATACCTTAAATGGTTTTAAAAAATGTTTTATACATTAAAATTTACTCTTAGTGTTGTGAAGTTCCATGGGTCTTGACAAATGCATAGTGTCATATATTCACCATTTTTATAGCATATAGAATAGCTTTATTGCTCTAGATAATTTTTCATTTATTCGCTTCTCCCAAAGCACCTGGTAACCATTGATTTACAAACCATGTCTATAATTCTGCTTTTTCCAAAATGTCATATAACCATACAGTTTTTAGTCTTTTCAGAATGACTTCTTTCACATTGCAATATGGGTTTAAGGTACATCATGTCTTTGTGTGGATTTTATACATACATTTTTATGTAAATACAGTAGTAAATGTGTTTTCCCCAACTTTTTTTCTTGGTTAAAAATCTATATTAGGGACTATTTCATGTCTCTAACACATGAACACTTCATTTTTGAAGCTATGGTATAGCATTCCAGAGAACAGATAATCTACTTTATTTAAGTATCACCTTATTGATGTTTCCAATTTTTTGTTATTACAAATAGGTCTTCACTAAGTTACTGCATACCGTTGAATTTGTATATGTGTACAATTATTTTATAGAATATATGGCATGAAACATTGATTGATTGGAGGTTATGTATGTTGTTAATTTTATTCAAATTTTTATTTTGAAATAATTGTAGTTTTACAGATGTTTTACAATGGTTATACAGGGTTTCTTCATTACCTGTCCCCTAGCTTCTTCAGTGTTAGCATCTTCCATTAACCATGGTTGTGTAGTTAATATTTGATGTATAATACATTTTTCCTCCAAGGAAGCTATACAAATTTACAATATTTCCAATACTATATAAGAATGACTCTTTTTCTGCAGTCTTTTTAAGAGTGGATATTACTTTTAAATTTTGTCAAGTTTATGTGTAAGTACATTTTGTTATTTAAGTAGCATTTTCCTGATTTTTTGTGAAGATAAATATCTTTTTATATAATTGTTGGCAATTTTTATAATACTTTCATGAATTTTCTGTTCATTTTACTTGATCATTTGTAACATATATTCCTCTTTATGTTTTATCAGCCTCACCTGCCTCCAACATGCTCAACTATTAGACACAAGCAAGTCTATGAATATTTCCAATGTTCTATTTCCTGAGGCACACCTGCACTCAGAGTCTCCATATTTTCCCATCATTTCTATGGTGCCTTGAATGAGGCACCATAATAGAGGGAGAGGAACTGGCTTCCCAAAGAGGCCAATACACTCAACTAATAGGGGCAAATATTTAACTCCCTATTAGAGGAATCTTGACAAATAGGGCAGAGGAAGCAGGAAGGAACAGGCAGGTAAATTTATTTTTCCTTTTACTGGACAGATGAACTTGGTTTTTGAATTGCTTGTCCCTGATTTTATTCTCTTCTCCCTGCCTTCTTTCTCTCAGTCTTTCTGCCTTGAGATTGCATCTTCCAGTAAACCATTGCCACATGAGACTGACTCTATCTCTGTTTTCTAGGCGGTTTGGGTTAAGATACCATTTTCCTCTAGGGCAGTGTTCTTCTTTGTTAATTTGTAATATACCATCATATATAATGTCAATTAATTCCTTTTTTATTTGTGCTAAATAATTCTGCCAGTTTACATTTGTCTATGAAATTTATTGTACAGTGCTTCTCACTGTATAAAAGACATATATTTTTAGATGTTTTGTTTTGTTACTCTTTTCATTTATGGCTCCTAGATATTCTTATGTTACTTAGGAAGGCTTTCTGTATTCCAGGATTATTTTTAAATTTCTACTGTGGCATCATATTTTAACTTTAATTCATTTAAAATGATGATGGGAGGCAGAAATTGATTTAGACTTCAAAAGTGATCCTCTAATTTACTTTATCCCCAATCCTTTTTGCTCAGCACTAAAAAGTCTCTGTTAAAACGTGTGTGAAAAAATCATAAAAGCTACACACAACTATCAAAAAAGAACACTTTGCCTTTGTCCTAACATGACAAACCGAAGAACATAACTTAGATATACGTTGGGCAGGGTGGGGGAAAGGGGAAGCAAAAAAAAAATCTGTTGAACTTCTATTTCTGAAAATGTATTTTCTTCCTTAATTCCTAATTATAATATTAAGCAATATCTTGCTGACCTACACTTATACAAAATTATCAATGTACATTTGGCAGAGAGGCAAGGTTAACTCAAGACCACAAAAATTCACCTGCCACTTTTGTGTCAAATAGAAAAAAAAATAAAGTTGTCCCCTGAAATGGTTTGGCTGTGCTCCTACTTAAATCTCATCTTAAATTCCCACATGTTGTGAGAGGGACCTGGTGGGAGGTAATTGAATCATGGGATCAGGTCTTTCCCATGCTGTTCTCCTGATAGTGAATAATTCTCATGAGATCCGATGGCCTTATAAGGCAGAGTTTCCCTGCACAAGCCCTCTGTCTCTTTGCCTGCTTCCATCCATGTAAGACATGACTTGTTCCTCCTTGCCTTCTGCCATGAATGTAAGGTTTCCCAGCCATATGGAACTATAAGTTCATTAAACCTATTTTTCTTCCCAGTCTTGGATATGTCTTTATCAGCAGCATGAAAATGGACTAATAGATTAAATTGGTACCAGTAGAGTGGGTTGCTGCTGAAACAATACCCAAAAACATGAAAAAGACTTTGCAACTGGGTAACATGCTGAGGTTGGAACTGTTTGAAGGGCTCAGAAGAAGATAACAAACTGAGGGAGAGTTTGGAACTCCCTAGAGGCTTGTTGAATGGCTTTGACCAAAGTGCTGATAATGATATGGACATTGAAATCCAGGTTGAGATGGTCTCAGATGGAGATGAGGAACTTGTTGGGAACTGGAGCAAAGGTGACTCTTGTTATGTTTTAGCAAAGAGACTGGTGGCATTTTGCCCTATCCTAGAAATTTGCAGAACTTTGAACTTGAGAGAGATGATTTAGGGTATCTGGCAGAAGAAATTTCTAAGCAGCAAAGCATTCAAGAAGTGACTTAGGTGCTTTTAAAAGCATTCAGTTTTGTAAGGGAAGCAGAGCATAAAAGTTTGGAAAATTTGCAGCCTGGCAATGCAATAGAAAAGAAAATTCCATTTTCTGAGGAGAAATTCAAGTGAGCTGTGGAAATTAGCATACATAATGAGTTGCCGAACATTAATCCCCAAGACAATGGCAAAAATGTCTCCAGGACATGTCAGAGTTCTTCACAGCAGCCCCTCCCATCACAGGCCCAGAGGCCTAGCAGGAAAAAGTGGTTTCCTGGGCCAGGCCCAGGGTGCCCATTGCTGTGTGCAGCCTAGGGACTTGGTGCCCTGCATTCCAGCTGCTCCAGCTGTGGCTGAAAGGGGCCAACATAGAGCTTGGGCTGTGGCTTTAGAAGATGCAAGTCTCAAGCCTTGGCAGCTTCCACATGGCGTTGAGCCTGTGGGTGCACAGAAGTCAAGAATTGAGGTTTGGGAACCTCTACCTAGATTTCAGAGGATGTATGGAAATGCCTGGATGTTCAGGCAGAAGTTTGCTGCAGAGGTAGGGCTCTCATGGAGAACCTCTGCTAGGGCAGTGTGGAAGGGAAATGTGGGGTGGGAGCCTCCACACAGAGTCCCTACTGGGGCACCACCTAGTGTTCCTGTGAGAAGAGAGCCATCATCTTCCAGACCCCAGAATGGTAGATGCACTGACAGCTTTCACTGTGCTCCTGGAAGAGCCATAGAAAATACAAGCCATTGGAAACAGCTGGGAGGGAGGCTCTACCCTGCAAAGCCACAGGGGTGGAGCTCAAGACTATGGGAATCCACATCTTCCTTCAGTGTGACCTGGATGTGAGACATGGAGTCAAAGGAGATCATTTTGGAGCTTTAACATTTGACTGTCTCACTGGATTTCAGACTTGCATGAGGCCTGTGGCCCCTTTGTTTTGGCCAATATCTCCCATTTTCAATGGATGTATTTACCCAATGCCTATACCTATATTGTATCTAGAAAGTAACTAACTTGCTTTGGATTTTACAGGCTCCCAGGCAAAAGGGACTTGTCTTGTCTTGGATGAGACTTTGGACTTTTGAGTTAATGCTGAAATGAGTTAAGAATTTGGGGACTGTTGGGAAGGCGTGATTGGTTTTGAAATGTGAGGACATGAGACTTGGGAGGGGCCAACAATGGAATGATATGGTTTGGCTGTATCCCTACCCAAATCTTATCTTAAATTCCCACATGTTGTGGGAGAGACCTGGTTGGAGGTAAGTGAATCATGGGGGGGGGCAGGTCTTTCCCTTGGTGTTCTCATGATAGTGAATAAGTCTCATGAGATCTGATGGCTCATGAGATCTGATGGCTTTATAATGTGGAGTTTCCCTGCACAAGCCCTCCCTGTCTTTGTCTGCTGCCATCCATGTAAGATGTGACTTGTTCCTCCTTGCCTTCTTCCATGATTGTGAGGCTTTCCCAGCCACATGGAACTGTAAGTCCATTAAACCTATTTTCCTTCCCAATCTTGGGTATGTCTTTATGAGCAGTTTGAAAATGGACTAATACATCCCCTCTGAATAGAATCAGCTCTGTAGGTAGGCAGCTTGGCAAGCTTTCATCATCATTGCTCATGTTAGAACAGGGCTTCACTTCGTGGCCAAGACAGCCCCACCTCAAACACGGAGCATGGAGATCAGAGCTACGCAGCATTTCTATGCATACCAGCCTCCTTAGCCACGTGCATTAGCACAGAAAGCAACTTGTTCAGACCTAATAGGGGCTCTGTTTTAAGGCAAAGTTCTCTGTGCCCTCTTCCTCAAATAGGTATGGCAGGAATTATTTACTCCTTGAAGAAAAATGTAAGATAATTTGAGAACATTCAGAAAAGAAAAGAGGAGGAAAAAGACATGCGTATCAAAATTCTGAGGTCTTTTTCTGAGACCCTAAACTCCCTGGAGTCTCCTCAAAGGTTAGAGGGGCTTTCCTCAGGTGGACTCATCTCCTTGTTATCTTGTACTGAAGGTTAAATGCAGCACCCACTCCCTTTTCAATTCATGTGAGCATCCTTATTCCCTATGGTCTTTTATTATCACCCACAGGAGAGTGATATGGGACATTCCATTTTTGTTGAATTTTAATATTCAAAATACCTATAGAAATTAATGTACTTGCTTTTAAGGACAAAGTATGTGGTATTCTACCACATACTGGTAAAGTATCATTTTCATGTCCTTATTTCATTTACTTTATTGGTTTTCTAATTTTATACTCAATTCCTAACTCCATTCCTATCTTCTCCCATCCAACTTCCATCATTTTATTTACACAAATGTATATCTGAAAATATATCTTGCTGGATTTATGTTGTAAATATTATTGCCTATATTACTTTTGCATTCAACATAATGTTTTTGAGCTCAATTAATTTGATTATATGTGAATCTAGTTCATTGTTTAAAAATGATACAGAGACAAATGTATATACATATATAATACATATCATTTGTGTATGACACAACCTTGCCAGTGAATAGTACTTTTACTTATCTGTTCTTTCAGTATTGGATTTCCTGTGTGTTTGTTTCTACCCTGAGGAATATACTAATTCCCTGTAGTTTTCATCTCTTTATAGTCCATTGTTTAAAAATGATACAGAGACAAATTTATATATATATAATTTGTATATGAAACAATTTTGCCAGTGCATAGTACTTTTAATTATCTATTCTTTCAGTATTGGATTTCCTGTGTGTTTCTACCCTGAGGAGTATACTAATTCCCTGTAGTTTTAATCTCCTTATAGCCCTTCCTCTCCTGGGATGCCCTTTCTTAGCATGGTTAGATTTTTTTTTTACTCCAGAGATATTACTTCCTGAACTGAGAAATCACAACTATGCAGACATCCCTTGGGGATGTATGCATGAGGAAGAGAGAAAGCACACACTCTCCATAATAAACCATTCCCACCCAAAATCTGTGCCGTTAGAAGCCATTTTTGAATCCACTTTTAAAGTATTCATAACTAGATGCCAAATCCTCTATATAAACTTTCAAATCCTTTAACCCCTGAAGTATTCATTTCTAGTTCTTTCAATAATACTGCCAGAATAACCCTTATGCCACTGAATCAACTCCATTTCATCATGTTATGTTTCTCCCTAAGAGACTGGCCACCCTTTTGTTTCAGGTCTATCACCCTTTCTGATAGTTCATTGCTGCATTTCAGCAGCTTACCATGGCAAATAGTAATACTGTTTTTTTCTGTCTTTACTGATGACAGTCATTCAGCCTGAATAATTATATTTCCTTTAATATATTTTTCTTAAGCTAAGGTAGTGGGAGTCATTACTGGCTGTTGTCCCATACACACCCACTGTGGACATCCAGCTTTAAATGCAGGTGTACTGCAATTGTATTACCTCAACAGCTGGCATGTTTTAGGTAACATTAGGCACTAAGATCTACTCTGTGCATTCCTTAAATATGACAATTGTGTGATGATAATGAAATCATGGACTCAAGTCACTGAAGAGAAAGTTTTGTAATATAAAATGCATTTTAAACTTTAAATAAAGACTTCTGCATTTCTAACTTTAGAATCCACAAGGAAATATTCTTGTAAATTTTTAAAGGAGATGAATATTCTTAAATGGAGATGAAGGATATTCTTAAAGGGAGGTGAAGATGTAAAAAATCCTACCTATTCAGTTTTCCAGTTAAGCATCAGAATAGGAGAACAGAAGATAAGGGATATACAAAATCAACAAGTAATTTAGCTCTTTCACCAGTTTCCATGGCAACTCTACTATATAAAACTAAGAAGAAAATGCATTCAAAAAACTCAGGCTTTGCTTTGGCCTTGATCATTGACATTTTCAACATTACTGTCTTCAATACAATGTGTAAAGCAATCAAATACATATACTGGATATAATTTTGACATTGCATACAAAGAATTTTATGAACTTTAATATGTTATAGTTGGTGTGTAGTGGGAGGGAAAAAAACAGAGTTTCTTTTTAAAACTCAAATTAAAAAATTATGAACCTTGTCTATTTGACAATGACTGAAATGAATTAGTTAATACATTCCCAGTTTAAAAGGGATTTACACAGGCTGAGTCTGTTTCCTCTGTTCTCAGACAAAATGTTTTTCATGCCATTCCCCTGGAATTTCTGTGCTGACTGAGTCACTTAAGATGAATGACTTGTCCAGGTTGTCCCAATACAGTCAATGTCAGCCTTAAAAGCCTTCTGAATGGATCTTCTGAGACTTTGATCTTTGAAACTAAAGATGCACTTTGAGTTGTGGAGTCCTTGTGGCTCTGAAAGGAATGGTAATCCTGTGACACTTAGGACTTGATTCTCAGATGGCAGAACCCTAATGCACACACATGAACACATACATCTCGTTCCTTTGTCACAGAAATGTCCACAGTTCTACTGTATAATTCCATCTGAGAACAGTTTCTTCAAATGGTGTTTTCCTGCCAAGTGTGTTTTAGCAGGTTATATTTTTGACTGATTTCTGGGATCTTAATCCAGACCCCTGATAACATTTGAAATGTTTAAATGGGAACCTTCTATATAGAATCATAGGATTTGATATTTTAAAAATGTTAATCTTTCTCACATGTTCTTATTACTTATTAAATTTGACTTTATCTTTCCATTTGAATTTATTCTCAATAATTATTTAATAATTCTCGAAAAATGTGGTTGAACGCATTTATTGCCAGGCCCTAAAGAGGGGATTGTAGCTAACATAGGTTCCCTACTACTACTAATTGACTTATGTTCAGGGTTCTGGAAAAAAAACACAATTTATATCAACGATGCTAGAAAAAGCTTCTGGGAACTGTACCCTACTGAAACAAATATATATGCTCTGTGAAGAAAATTAACTGACTCTAACATGGGGGTAATAATTGCATTTCCTAAAATATCAGTAATACTTATGACACAATCTATACAAAGACTGCATTTCAGAAGAACCAAATATGTATCTTTTAATATATACATATGTATGATAAATTGTATTTGGGTTCCTCATCCATGAATATGGGTTTATCTACAAACGGTTTAGGTTTTATCCGTACTTACATATTTAAAGATTATATTACTTTTTGTAGATGCTGTAACACATTATTACAAACTTAGTGGCTTAAAACAATAAACAATGTACTATTAAACAGTTCTGAAGATTAAAAGTCTAAAATGTTCTAGCAAGGCTCCATTATTTCTGGAGGCTCCAGGGGAGATTCTATTTCCATGCCTTTCTTAACTTCTAGAAGCTGCCCACATTTGATGAGTTCTGGTCTTGCATCACTCCAACCTTCGTTTCCATATTCACATCTCCTTTGATTATACTACTCCTGCTTCCCTGTTATCAGGACACTTGTGATTGCATTGGGCCCATGCATTCGTCTATTCTTATATTGCTATAAGGAAAGACCTGCCACTGCGTAATTTATATTTAAAAAAAGAGGTTCAATTGACTCACAGTTCTGCAGAACTGGGAAAGCCTCAGGAAACTTACAATTATGGTGGAAGGTATCTCTTCACAGGGATGCAGGAGAGAAAATGAGTGTGAGCAGGGGAAGTGCCAGATGCTTATAAAACCATCGGAGCTCATGAGAACTCACTCACTATCATGAGAACACCATGGAGGAATCTGCCCCCATGAGCCAATTAGCTCCACCTGGTCCTGACTTTGACGCATGGGGATTATGGGTATATTAGTCTGTTCTTTTGCTGCTAGTAAAGACATAACCAAGACTGGATAGTTTATAAAGGAAAGAGGTTTAATGGACTCACAGTTCCACATGGCTGGGGAGCCTCACAATTATGGTGGAAGACAAAGGAGAAGCAAAGGCACATCTACATGGCAGCAGGCAAGAGAGAGTGTACAGAGAAACTCCCCTTTATAAAACCATCAGATCTTCTGAGACTTATTCACCATCCCCAGAACAGCATGGGAAAGACCCACCCCCTTGATTCAATTACGTCCCCCCGAATCCCTCCCAAGACTTGTGGGAATTATGGGAGCTATGATTCAAGATGAGATTTTGGGTGGAGACACAACCAAACCATTTCGGCTCACTTATATAATCCAGAATCATCTTCCCATTTTAAGACCCTAATTTATTCACATTTGGCTTCAAACAATAGAAATTTATTTCTTGCTTATGGAAAATACAAAGTTGATTCTTCTGATTGGTAGGCAATTCTCCAGGAAGAAGTGATTTAATGATGCAGGTTTCTTCTACATCATGGCTCAATTATCATTAAAAGAACATTTCCAAGTTCACCAGAGAAGGATCATGAAGGAAACAGCACATCCAGGAATGCTTTAGTGGACCAGGCATTGATGTAATGTTTATCACTTCCGCCCACATGTAAGGGACATGAATAATTCAATCACATGCCTACATATAACAGTAAAATGCCAGGCATGGTGGCTCTGGCCTGTAATCTCAGAATTTTGGGAGGTTGAGGAAGGTGGAGTCCAGGAGTTCAAGATCAGCTTGGGCAACGTGGTGAAACCCCATCTCTACAAAATACAAAAAAAAAAAAAAAAAAGAAAGAAAAGAAAAAAAGAAACAAACAAAAAAACCAAAGTAATAAATTAGCGTGGCATGGTGGAGTGCTCCTCTAATCCCAGCTACTTGGGATGCTGAGATGGGAGGATCGCTTGAGCCCAGGAAGATCAAGGCTACAGTGAGCCGTGATTGCACCACTGCACTCCAGCCTGGGCAACAACGTTAGACCCCATTTCAAAAAACAAAAAAGAATAAACTATAAAGCTAGGGCATATAGACTAGATATGTATCTAGCAGAAAGAGACAATCAATTTGGTAAACTGATATCTGGCTTGAGCTGGTCAACAGGTTGACCAGTAAAAGAAAGGACATTTCAACAACTTTTAAATGAATGCTAGTTTAATTATATAATAAAAACATAAATAGAAAATAAGATGAATGAATTCAAAATTTCAGTATTATGAGATAAAGCGTTAGTTTAAGGCTAAAATAAATATCTTTAAAATCACCACAGGATAACCATGTTTAGCTGTTTAGTATTGAGTCCCAACTGGTGTAAGCATGCCCAGGAATACAGATAGACATGGATAAAGAAAATATTTCCTTCTTTAAAGGATAGTTTCATAGAAGCTCAGAGTTTAAAGAAGTAATACAATTTTCAAAAATATTATATTACCATATAGGATTAAAATTTACCCGCTTATTTAATATAGAGAAACTGCTAACTAATTAACTCATTTTATGAGGAAATTTTTATGTGAGAATTATTTTTTTATTTTCCTGAAGAGGAATCATTTGTTTCCATTTGCAGATTCCAAATGGACTCAATTAACACTCATTTACAATCTATCTAAACTGGGATATTTTTCAGCCACCTTGGAAATCAATGATGATTTTGTCTCCTAACTCATAATCTACTAGTCTAAGATTACTGCTCTGTTTAAATAATTTCTCCAACAGCAATGGATTGAGGAGACATCATGTAACTCATGAATAGTTGCTCTTCCTATTCATAATAATTTTGTAAGTTGCTTTGTAAATTACTTCCAGGAGAGAAAACACATGACTTCCTTTGACAGTGGTATCTCCATTGTTCAGAACAGTGGAACTAAACCTGAATGAACAGCATGACATGTTGTTTCTGCTGTCAGTCTATATACGTGTTCTTGGAATCTTCAAGATTTGCACAGGTTTACATGCAAGAGAAGAATATTTTGTAATCCAGTAGAATTAGGATACTGTAGGCATATATTTTTAAAATGTATGTAACAATTGTCTGTGACACCTTCTTTTCTCTACTAACACAGCAACATCTGACAGTTCATTAAAAAGAAAACCAGAAAATGAACCACAGTAGTGAGGACTGTATTAATTTGGTATTTATATTCATTATATAATAATACTAATCCAATTATATGGAACAAAGTTTGAAAGAAAAAAATGACTGCAAGGATTGGCACAATGTATGAAAGATAAGAGAAACTGGCGTAAGTCTTTAAAGAGTATTTCCCTTTGCAATGAATACTCAATGTAAGGAAAAATTTAAACATTAAATGATTATATAAAAGCATGAGGTTTCTATTTTCCTCTGGGTTTTGTAAAAGAAACATGAAGAACTGTTGTGAAAATTGTGACAATCTAGTAATTTTTTCTCATTTCAAGTAATACTCCATACTTTTCCTTCTCTTATTTTACTACTACTTCCTTATTATTTATGTGCATAATTCTCCTGATAAAACCTTTGCTGTTTTCACTATACATGGTGCTGGGGCAGTAAATGTTTTCTCTCCTAATGTGTCCCTATGTGTTATTTTAAAATCGCTATAATGAGCCAAAACATGAAATTTACTGGTCATTTTCTTTATTCTGAAATTATGAAATATTCCATGATGTGTATCAAATTTATATTGTAGTACAAAGAAAAAGAAAATGAGTCCAAAAAGGCAATTCTGACATTACATTTAGAAACTGGATTTAGAGTATTTCATCAGCAGTGATAAACATTCTAGTAGTATTTTGAGGCTTATTATTTAATATGAGGTAAGGCATATGAGAAGAGCATCCTTTTGCTGGCACAACTTTTAAAAAGCATTCAGAAGCACTGCAATAAATTAAATAGGAGAAATAATATAGATGCATTGTTTTTACTCATTCATTTATTTTCAGCACATACCCAATCAACATTTTAGTTAATGAAACAGATTTTTCACCAATGAAGTCACAGCCTCAATAAATTCAGAGTTCAGCACTGCCACTGTGTAGAAATGAGGGAATCAACTTAGACACATTTCTACACATGGTCAAATTTATTGTCTGATGCTGTTTCCTGTTCTCCAGTTACATTCTATTAGTGGCATTCCATGAAAGAAAAACTCTGATGTGGGTGTCAAATAATTGATACTAAATGGAAAGAGTTTCTCTGGGCTATGTAAAGTCTAACTTGGGAGAGGCAATTGATACGATATAATGTGTGGTAAACTCCAATAACAACAGGCAATACTCATGAAATTCTGTGCAAGAAGAATCTATTTGGCTGATATGTCTGTTCTGGCATTAGAAGATGACTAATACTTGTCAGACACATAGATATAATTTGGCTAACTCTCCTTAATAATATATAGATTGAGTTCACCTGGATGAAAAAAAAATGTTTTCACCACTAACAATGTGGCCTTAGACAAATTGCTTAACCTCTCTGTAGTAGTCCATTCTCAAATTGCTATAAAGAAATACCGGAGACTGGGTAATTTATAAAGAAAAGAGGTTTAATTGGCTCGTGGTTCCACAGACTGTACAGGACTTCCTGACCTGGAATATTGGACTCCAAGTTCTTCAGTTTTGGGACTCTGACTTCCTTGCTCCTCAGCTTGCAAAAGGTTTATTGTGGGACCTAACCTTGTGATTGTGTGAGTCAACACTACTTAATAAACTCCTGTTTGTACATATGTCTCTCCTATTCTGTTCCTCTAGAGAACCCTGATTAATTGCAGATGCTATCTCATCATGGTTTTGATTTGCATTCCTCTGATGAGCAGTGATCTTGAGCATTTTGTCATATTATTGTTGGCTGTTTGTATTTTTCTGAGAAGTATTTGTTTATGTCCTTTGCCCACTTTTTAATGGGGTTGTTTTTTCACTGGCTAAGTTCCTTATATATTCAGCATATTAGACTTGATGGATGCATAGTTTTCAAATATTTTCTCCCATTCTGTGGGTTGTTATAGTTTCTTTTGCTGTTCGAAAGCTCCTTAATTTAATAATGTCCTTTTTGTCAATTTTTGTTCTTGTTGCAATTGATTTTGAGGACTTACATATAAATTCTTTGCCAAGGCTAACAATAATAATAGCATTTTCTAAGTTTTCTTTTAGCATTTATAGTTTGAGGTCTTATATTTGAATCTTGAAAAAATCTTGAGTTTTTTTTTTTTTTATGGTGAAAGGTAGGGGTCCAGTTAAGTTCTTCTGCCAGTTATTTCAGGACCATTTATTGAATAGGGGATCGTTTCTCCATTGCTTATTTTTGTCAGCTTTGTCAATAAGATTAGATATTTTCAGGTGTATGGCTTTGTTTCTGGGTCTTCTATTCTGTTCTATTAGTCTATGTGTCTGTTTTTGTACCATTATCATGTTTTTTGGTTATCGTATAGTTTGACGTCAGGAAATGTGCTGCTTCCAGCTTTGTTCTTTTTGGTTAGGATTGCTTTCTCTATTTGGGCTCCTTTTTGGTTCCATATGAATTTTAAAATAGTTTTTTTAATATATTTCTGTGAAAAAAGACATTGATAGTTTAACAGGAATAGTATTGAATCTATAGATTGCTTTGGGAAGTATGGCCATTTTAATGATATCAGTTTTTCCACTCCATGAGCATTGAATATTTTTCCATTTATGTCATCTCTGGTTTCTTTCAGCAGTGTTCTGTAGTTCTCTTTGTAGAGATCACTCACCTTTTTGGTTAGATTTATGCCTAGGTATTTGTGTGTATTTGGGAGGAGTGCTGTTTTGTGGGACTGTGTTTTTGATTTGGCTCTCAACTTGAACATCACTTGCGTATTGAATTGCTGTTGATTTTGTATATTGGTTTTGTATCTTGAAATATTTCTGAAATCACTTTTAAGGTCCAGTAGAATTTTCTAGGTATAGAATTATATCTTCAGTGAAAAGAGATAGTTTGACTTCTTCCCTTTCTACTTGAATTCCTTTAATTTCTTTATCTTACCTGATTGTTATGGCTGGGACTTCCATTACTATGTTGAATAGGAGTGGTAAGAGTGAACATCCTTATCTTGTTCCAGTTTTATTGGAGAACACGTCCAGCTTTTTGATGTTCAGTATGATATTGGCTGTGGGTTTGTCAGACAGGGCTCTTATTATTTTGAGGTATGTTCTTTCAATGACTAACTCAATCAGAGTTTTTAACTTGAAGGGATGTTTAGTATTATCAAAGGCTTTTTCTGCATCATTGAGATGATCATGTGGTTTAGTTTTTTATTTCTGTTTATGTGATGAATCATATTTATTGATTTGTATATTTGAACTAACCTTGCATCCTAGGGATAAAGTCTACTTGATTGTCAGGGATTAGCTTTTTGATGTGTTACTGGATTTTGTATTTATGTTTATGTGATGAATCATATTTATTGATTTGTGTATGTTGAACCAACCTTGCATCCCAGGGATAAAATCTACTTGACTGTGGGGGATTAGCTTTTTGATGTGCTACTGGATTTGGTTTGCTAGTATTTTGTTGAGGATTTTTGTGTCTATGTTCAGCAGCAATTTTAGCCTGATATCTTCTTTTTTGCATGTGTCTTTGCCAGGTTTTAGCATTAGGGTGATGCTGGCTTTGTAGAAAGAGTTAAGGAGTTCCTCCTCTTTGATTTTCTGGAATAATTTCAGTAGAATTGATACTAGCTCTTCTCTGTATGTCTGATAGAGTTCAGCTGTGAATCCATCTGGTCCAGGGCTTTTTATGGCTGTTAGATTTTTTATGACCAATTCCATTTCTGAATTAGGTATTAGTCTGTTAAAGGTTTGAATTTCTTCCTGATTCAATGTTGGGAGATTGTTTGTTTGCCAGAATTTATACATCTTTTCTGGATTTTCTAGTTTGTGTACATAGAGATGTTCACAATAGACTCTGAAGATCTTTTGTAATTCTATGGTATCTGTTGTAATGTCACCTTTGTCATTTTTTATTGTGCTTATTTGGATCTTCTCTCTCTTTTTCTTTGTTAATCTAAGAAGCAGGCTATCAATTTTGTTTATCCTTTCAAAAATCAGCTTTTGTTTTCTTTAATCCTTTTTAAGTATTTTTGGGTCTAAATTTCATTTAGTTCTGTTCTGATTTTATTTATTTATTTTCTTCTGTTAGCTTTTGGGTTACTTTGTTCTTATTTTTCTAGTTCTTCTAGGTGGGATGTGAGATCATTAATTTAAGATTTTTATAACTTATTGATGTAGCTGCTTAGAGATATAAACTTTCCTCTTAACATTTTTTTGGCTGAATTCAAGAGATTTGGGTATGTTGCTTCTTGATATGTTTTCATTTATTTCAAATATATATTTAAAAAAGATTTCTGCCTTCATTGTTTACCAAAAAGTCATTCAGAAGCAAGTTGTCTAATTTCTATGCAATTGTGTGGTTTTGATAGATCTTCTTAGTATTGACTTCTATTTTTATTCCAATGTGGTCTGAGAGTATGGTTGGTATGATTTTGATTTTTTTTTGAATTTTGAGACTTGCTACATAGCTGAGCATATGGTTGATCTTATAGCATGTTTGGTGTGCAGATGAGAAAAATATATATTCTGTGGTTGCTGGAGGGAGTAGTTTGTAAATGCCAACTAGTTCTAATTGGTCAAGTATCAAATTAAAATCCAGAATTTGTTAGCTTTCTGCCTCGACATTCTGTTTAATGCTGTGACTAGGGTGTTGAAGTCCACTTATATAATTGTTTGGCTTTCTAAATCTTTTCATAGCTCTAGAAAGAATCTTATGAATCTAGGTGCTCCAGTGTTGTGTGCATATATATTTGGGATGGTTAAGTCTTCTTGATGAATTGAACCCCTTATCATATGTAGTGTCTTTGTTTGCCTGTTTTTAATGTTTTTCATTAATGTCTGTTTCATCTGCTATACAAACAGCAAGCTCTGCTTTGTTTGTTTGTTTTCTGTTTGCATGATAGAACTTTTTTCAAGCCTTTACTTTGAGCCTATGGATGTCATTACATGTGATGGATCTCTGAAAGATAGCAGAGAGATGGGTCTTGCTATTCTTTCCAACTTGCCACTCTACCTTTTAAGTGTGTCACATATACCATTTCAAGGTTAATATTGATATGTGAGATGCTGAACCTATCATGAAGTTGCTAGCATGTTGCTTTGTAGTTTTTATTGTGTACTTGCTTTATAGTATCTATGGACTATATACTTTGGTGTGTTTATGTGGTAGAGGTATCTCTTTTTGTTTTTCAATGTTTAGAACTCCCTTCAGAATCTCTTGTAAGTTTGGTCTAGTGGTAATGAATTCTCTTAGTAATTGCTTGTCTGGAAAAGATTTTATTTCTCCTTTGCTTATGAAGCTTAGTTGGGTGGGATATGAAATTCATTGCTGGAACTTCTTTTTCTTTCATTTTTTTTTTCAGAATGCTGAAAATAGGCCTTCAATCTCTTCTGGCTTTTAATGTTTCTTCTTAGCAGTCCACTATTAACCTGACAGGGTTACCTCTGTATGTGATCTGACTCTTTTTTGTAGCTGCTTTTAAGATTTTACCTTTGGCACTGACTTAGACACTCTGGTGAGTATATGCCTTGGTGATGTTCATTTTGTATACTTTCTTACAGGTGTTTTCTGGATTTCTTACACCTAGATGTGTACCCCTCTAGCAAGATTAGGAATTTTTTTGATTAATCCCTTAGATAAATTTTCTAGGTTGATACTTTTTCTTATTCTCTCCAAGGAATGCCAATAATTTGGTTGCTTTACATTATCCTTTTTCTCGAAAACTTTATTCATTTTTTTTTCTTTCTGTGTGACTGGGCTAGAACAAAAGATTGTCTTTCAAGCTCTAACATTATTTCCTCTCCTTTGTCTAGTCTATTGATAAAGTTTTCAGTTGTGTTTCAAAATTCCTTAAGTGAATTTTTCTGTTCCAGAAGTTCCAATAGATTTCTCTTTAAAATGTTTATCTCTTTCTTCATTTCCTGGGTTGCTTTAAAGGTTTCTTTGTGTTAATTTTCAACCTTGCCCTAGATCTCATTGAGCTTCCTAGTAATCCATGCTTTGAATTCTTCATCTGTTATTTTTGAGTTTCCATTTTCTTTAGGGAGCATTACTGGAGAGGTGATATGATTCTTTGGTGGTATCACAACATTCAGATTTTACATAGTACCATAATTTATTTTCCTTTCTTCCTTTCCCTATAATAATATTGAAGTTTCCTTTGTTGTTGCTTTTTTGCCCCCTCCCAACCCCATGTTAGTTCATTCTTACATTGCTATAAAGAAAAATCTCAGATTGGGTAATTTATAAAGATAAAAGTTTTAATTGGCTCATAGCTCCATAGTCTGTAAAGGAAGCATGATGTTGGCATCTGCTTGGCATCTGCTTTGCTTCTTCAGAGGCCTCAGGAAACTTACAATCATGAAGGAAGATGAAGGGGGAGCAGGCAAATCACATGGCTAAAGCCAGGGCAAGAGAGAGTGATGGGTGAGATGCCACACACTTTTAAATGACCAGATCTCACAATAACTCACTCAATATCACAAGAGCAGTACCAAGGAGATGGTGATGAATCATTCATGAGAAACTTCCGTCATGATCCAGTCACTCTCACCAGGCCCCACCTCCAATACAGGGAATTACAATTGAACACAAGATCAAATATGTATCCATCTACCTTGGTTACAGCCAGCTCTTACCCACAAGTACCATCTATTAGCCTGTGGGTCAAATTGTACATCCCAATATAAAACCAGTTGACTGATGTACACAGGGCTATAGAAGCAAAGCCAAAAAACTCTAAACAACATTCTGTACAATCCACATCCCCTAGCAAAGGGGTGATATAGTTTTGAATATTTGTCCCTGACAGAATCTCATGTTGAATTGTAACCCCCAGTATTGAAGGTGAGACATGATGGGAGTGATTGCATTATGAAGGTAGTGTTTCATGCATGGTTCATTGCCATCTCCTTAGCACTATCCTCATAATAATTATTAAGTTCTCATGAAATCTGCTCATTTAAAAGTGTGTGGCTCCCTCCCCTCATTCTCTCTTGCTCCTGTTCTGTGCATGTGAAGTGCCTGCTACCTTGTCGCCTTCCACAGTGATTGTAAGTTTCCTGAGGCCTACCCAGAAGCCAAGCAGATTCCAAGGCTACAGTAACCACAAGAGCATGTTACTGGTATAAGAGTAGACACATAGACCAATATAACAGAACAGAGAATGCAAAAATGAAGCTGCACACATCAGTTCAAATGGTTTTTGTTAAACAGTCAAAAAATAACAGATGTTGATGAGGCTACAGAGAAAAGGGAACACTTACACACTGTTGGTGGGAATGTAAATTATTTTGGCCGCTGTGTTAGTCTGTTTTCACACTGCTATAAAGAACTGCCCCAGACTGGGTAATTTATAAAAGAAAGAGGTTAAATTGACTCACAGTTCCACATGGCTAGGGAGGCCTCAGGAAACTTACAATCATGGCAGAAGGCAAAGGTGAAGCAAAGCACTTTCTTCACAAGATGGCAGGAGGGAGAATGAATGCAGGAGGCACTGCCACACACTTATAAAATGATTAGATCTTGGGAAGACTCACTCACAATTACAAGAACAGCATGGAAGAAACCGATCCCATGATTAAATTACCTCCGCCTGGTCTCTCCCTTGACATGTGAAGATTACGGGGATTACAATTCAAGGTGAGATTTTAGGTGAGGAAACAGCCAAACCATATCATTCTGCCTCTGGCCCTGCTGAAATACCATGTCCTCAATACTTTTCCATCAATTCTCAAAAATCTTAATTTATTCAAGCATTAGCCCAAATTCCAAGTCTTAAGTCTCATCTGAGACAAGGCAAGTCCCTTCTGTCTATGAGCCAGTAAAATCACAAGCAAGTTAGTCACATCCTAGATACAATGGGGATACAGGCATTGAGTAAACACACCCATTCCAAATGGGAGAAATTGCCCAAAACGAAGGGCCTACAGGCCCCATGCAAGTCTGAAATCCAGTGGTGTAGTCGAATCTTAAAACTGCAAAATGATCTCCTTTGACTCTAAGTCTCACATCCAGGTCATGCTGATGCAAGAGATGGGCTGACATGGCCTTGGGCATTTCTGCCCCTGTGGCTTTGCAGGGTACAGGCCTCCTCGGCTGCTTTCATGGGCTGGCGTTCAGTGTCTGTGGATTTTTCAGGCATAGGGTGCAAGCTCTTGGTGGATCTACCATCTGGAGTCTGGAGAACCATGCCCCTCTTCTCACAGCTCTACTAGGCAGTGGCCCAGTGGGGCCACTGTGTGGGGGATCCAACCCCCATATCCTTTCCACACCGTTCTAGCAGTCGTTCTCCATGAGGGCTCCACCCCTGCAGCAAATGTCTGCCTAGGCATCCAAGTGTTTCCATACATCCTCAGAAATCTAGGCAGAGGTTCCCAACCTCAATTCTTGATTTCTGTGCACCTGCAGGCCTAACGCCATGTGTAAGCCACCAAGGCTTAGGGCTTGCACCCTCTGAAGCAATGACCTGAGCTGTACATTGGCCCCTTTTAGCCACAGCTGGGATGCAGGGCACCAAGTCCTGAGACTGCAAAAAGCAGCAAGGGCCTGGGCCTGGCCACAACACCAATTTTTTCATAGATCTCTGGACCTATGATACAAGGGGCTGCTGCGAAGACCTCTGACATGTCCTGGAGACATTTTCCCCATTGTCTGGGTGATTAACATTTGGCTTCTCCTTTCTTATGCAAATTTATGCAGCAGGCTTGAATTTCTTCTCAGAAAATGGGTAATATGGTTTGGCTGCGTCCTCACCTAAACTCTCATCTCGAACTGTAATCGGAATTGTAATCCCACATGTGGGGGGAAGGACCTCATGGGAGGTGATTAGATAATGGGGGTGGCTCCCCCATACTGTTCTCATGATAGTGAATGAGTTCTCACAAGATCTGATTGTTTTTATAAGGGACTGTGCCCCTTTCACTCTGCATTTCTCTCTCCTCTCACCACGTGAAGAAGGACATATTTACTTCCCCTTCTGCCATCATTGTAAATTTCCTGCTGCCTCCCCAGCCATGCAGAACAGTGAGTCAATTAAACCTATTTTCTTTATAAATTACCCAGTGTCACATATGTCTTTATAGTCAGGTGAGAATGAACTAAAATAGTAAATTCGTGCCACAGCAGGTGGAATGCTGCCATAGGATACCCCAAAATGTGAAAACAATTTTGGAATTGGTAACAGGCAGAGGCTGGAACAGTTTGGAGGGCTCAGAAGAAGACAGGAGGATGTGGGAAAGTATGGAACTTCCTAGAGACTTGAATGGCTTTAACCAAAATGCTGATAGTGATTTGGACAATGAAGTCCAGGATGAAGTGGTCTTAGATGGAGATGAGGAACTTGTTGGGAACTGGAGTAAAGGTGACTCTTGCTATGCTTTAGCAAAGGGATTGGTGACTTTTGCCCATGCCCTAAAAATCTGTGAAAGTTTGAACTTCAGAGAGATGATTTAGGGTATCTGGCAGATTTGGGAGGATTGTTGGAAAGGAATGATTGTGTTTTGAAATATGAGGACATGAGATTTGGGTGGGGCCATGGGCAGAATGATATGGTTTGACTGTGTCCCCACCCAAAATCTCATCTTGAATCGTAATCAGAATTGTAATCCCCACATGTGTGGGAGCTCATTAAATGATGGGGGCAGTCTCCCAAGCTCTTCACATGATAGTGAGCTCTCAAAATATCTCATGGTTTTTTCAGGGGATTTTCCCTCTTTGCTCTGCTTTTCTCTCTCCTGATGCCATGTGAAAAAGGATGTGTTTGCTTTCCCTTTGCCATGATTGTAGGTTTCCTGATATCTCCTCAGCTGTGAAGAACTGTGAGTGAATTGAACTACTTTTTAAAAATAAATTATGCAATCTCAGGTATGTCTTTATAGCATCATGAGGACAGATTAACACAATGGGTTTTTCTTTTCTATTGCACCAGCAGGTTGCAAGTTTTTCAAACTTTTATGCTCTACTTCTCTTTTAAACATAAATTCCAACTCCAGACCATCTCTTTGTGAATGCAGAAAACTGAATGTTTTAAAGAGCACCCAAGTCATATCATGAACATTTTGTTGCCTAGAAATTTCTTCTGCCAAATACCCCAAATCATCTCTTTCAAGTTCAAAGTTCCACAGATCTAGGGCAAGGGCAAAATGCCACCAGCCTCTTTGCTAAAGCATAGCAAAAATCACCTTTATTCCAGTTCCCAACAAGTTCCTTATCTCCATCTGAGACCACCTCTGCCTAGACTTCATTGTCCTTATTACTATCAGCATTTTGGCTAAAACCATTTAACAAGTCTTTAAAAAGTTCTAAACTTTCTCACATCTTTCTTTCTTCTTCTGAGCCTTCGAAACTGCTCCAACCTCTGCCTGTTACCCAGTTCCAAAGTCATTTCCACATTTTCATGTATCTTTATAGAAGTACCCCCACTCTACCAGTATCAATTTACTGTATTAGTTCGTTCTCACACTGACATAAAGAACTGCCTGAGACTGGGTAATTTATAAAATAAAAAGGTTTAATAGACTTACAGTTCTGCATGGCTGGGGAGGCCTCAGGAAACCTACAATTATGGCAGAAGGCAAAGAGGAAGCAGGGCACCTTCGTTACATGGCAGTAGGAAGGAGAATAAATGCAGGAGGCACTACCACACACTTATAAAACACATCAGATCTTGTGAGAATTCACTCACTATCACAAGAGCTGCATGGGGGAAACCACTCCCATGATTCAAATACCTCCACTTGATCTCTCCCTTGACACATGAGAATTATAGGGATTACAATTCAAGATGATATTTTGCACTGGGACACAGCCAAACCATATCAGCAAGTATAGAAAGTGTCGAGACCAGCTCAGTCGTTAAGACTGTAACACAGCGGTGCTAGAGGAATTAAAGACACACACACACACACAGAAATATAGAGCATGGAGTGGGAAATCAGGGGGCTGACAGCCTTCAGAGCTGAGAACCATGAACAGAGTTTTACCCACATATTTATTGACAGCAAGCCAGTGATAAGCATTGTTTCTATAGATTATAGATTAACTAAAAGTATTCCTTATTGGAAATAAAGGTATGGGTCTGTCTAGTTATCTGCAGCAGGAGCATGTCCTTAAGGCACAGATCACTCATGCTATTTTTGTGGTTTAAGAACACCTTTAAGCGGTTTTCCACCCTGGGTGGACCAGATGTTCCTTGCCCTCATTCAGGTAAACCAACAACCTTCCAGCATGGACGACATGGTCATCACGAACATGTCACATTGCTGCAGAGATTTTAAACAAAATTTATGGCCAGTCTTGTGGCTAGTTTATGGCCGGATTTGGGGGCCTATTCCCAACATGTCCACCTTCTTTGATTTGCAAAGCGATAAAAGCAAAGGCAGCTTTGTCATGGCGAGCTACTCCTTGCAGGAGTCAGGATCAGCATCTGCAGACTATACAAACACAAACAACACAGATTAAAAGCACAATCAACATTGAAATCACAGAGCTTCCAAGTGTTTTTATCCATTTTAATGGGTTATTAGCTGCTAATCTGTCTGCAGCTCCTTCAAACACTCCAGTTCCTGGCATTAAGTTCAGGTGTGCCTGGGATGCTTTAAATTTTTTTCTTTTTATTTTGTAATATCCAAAGAGAAGTTTGTAGAGTGTCCTTCTAGATGATTTTTTATTCTTTCCCAAATTTGTATCTTATTAATAGTTATTAATAGTTTCCACAAATCCTTATGTTTAGCTCCTACAATGGGCCATATCATTTGAGGTTGAGGTGCCACTATACCACCATGGTTCCAGATAATAGGAACTCTTGACATACTTCTTACCATTTCTACCATCTGACTGTTTTGTTCAGACCAGCTGAACATAGTGTGGCTGTGGCACACAGACTGAGGGGTGCAATTTAAGCTAAACATCCCCTTAGGGGACCAATCAATAATGATTCCATAGGAATCATTGCACAGCACCTCCACCTGTTCTGCAATGAAATCTTCCCAAACAACTGTTCATTTTTTCTGACTGGGTCCAATCCTGTTTACAAATAGGTTTGTGAGGGCGGTATGCCTTAATTATAGGAGCAGATTTATTATGGTAAATACTGAGATCAGAAAGCATGTGTAACTGTGTCATAGAGTGATTACATCCAGGCATTATTGCCAGCCAAGATTGATAAATATGCCCAATAAGTATAACTGTTCTCTGTGTCAGCCCTTGTTGAAGGAATACTCATGGGAATGGTGATCACCACTATCATAGCTATCATTAAATTACTCATTGTGACTAATTGTCCCACTTTCCTTAGGTTTTCTTCCACCATCTGTGACAGCTTCTTGATCTGTCCCCAGGTAGGTGGCTGTGTCGACGGGTGTTACTCGTGACAGTTGGGGTCCTCCTCAGCATCAGTCTTGACATGGCTGCAAGCGGGGTGGTCCTTAGGATCCTTCCAGAATCTCTTCCTTGACATCTGGCTCATGATAAGGTTTCAAGTGTCTTGATGGTATCCAAATCGGCTGTTGATTCAGTCCTGGAGAAACACAGGAATAACCAATTAAAAAATTGACAGTTTCATTTTAGGAAAATGATTATCGAGAATACTCACAGTCAGCTAAATGGATTTGCCAAGTAAGACTATTTATAAAAGCCTTCTGTATTTTTGCCTTTGTGAGAGGGACAATAATTTTTCCAGGATCATATCTGTGTAATTTAACAATCCGAGTTCTCCCATTTCCTACCATAGTAGCGATTTGATCCAAATAAGGAATTAGAGTCTGTGAATTAGTATGTGGAAGAAAAAGCCATTCTACTAAGTCCTGCTCTTGGATAATAACATCAGTAGGTGAATCCTGAGTTGGAAAAATTAGCAAATCTAGAGTCTTCTCTGGATCTATTCTATTTATTTGGGCTTTATGGACTTACTTTTTGATTAGCTGTAACTCTGCCTCAGCCTCCTTTGTTAATTGCCAAGGGATAGTGAGAATAGGATCTCCTCTAAGGATAGAAAATAGATTACTCATGGCATAGGTAGGAATGCCTAGAGCAAGTCGTATCCAATTAATGCCCCCTAGTAATTTTTGAAAGTCATTTAAAAATTTTCAATTGATCCCTACTTATGGCTACTTTCTGTGGCACAATGGTAGAGTCATTTACTAAGGTCCCCAAGTAGGAGTAGGGAGTAGTAGTTTGAATTTTGTCAGGAGCTATAATTAAACCAGCACAAGAAATCAAATTTTGCAAGTGATCATAACATTGGAGTAATATTTCTCAAGTGAGGGCAGCACAAAGTATATCATCCATATAATGAATAATGTAACACTGTGAAAAATTTTTAGGAGTAGGTTCAATTGCTTGCCCTACGTAAGTCTGGCAAATTGTTGTACTGTTTAACATGCCTTGTGGCAACACTTTCCAGTGAAAATGCTTAGCAGGCTGCAGGTTGTTTACTGCAGGAATTATAAACGCAAACCATTCACAGTCTTGTCCGCTAAGGGGATAGTAAAGAAAGAGTCTTTTAAATCTATGACGACTAAAGGCCAATTTTTTGGAATTATAGCAGGAGAAGGCAATCCTGGCTGTAATGCCCCCATAGGTTGTATAACTGAATTAATGGCTCTTAAGTCAGTTAACATTCTCCATTTACCTGATTTTTTCTTAATTACAAAAACTGGAGAATTCCAAGGGGAAAATGTTGGAGCTATGTGCCCATTTTCTAATTGTTCAGTAATTCCTCTGAAGCCTCCAGTTTCTCTTTATTTAGTGGCCATCGTTCCATCCAAATTGGCTTATCTGTTAACCATTTTAAAGGTATAGGTTCTGGAGGTTTTACAATGGCCACCATCAAAAATGATAGCCTAAACCTTGGCAGGAACTTTGTCTTTCTGCTTTAAGTGGTTCTTTCAAACCTTGCAAATTTTTGCCTAGTCCCACACCAGGGACATACCCCATTTCATGCATCACATGTTGACTCTGAGGGCAATATAATTGTTCTGGAATTAGAACTTGTGCTCCCCATTGTTGTAATAAATCTCTTCCCCATAAATTTATAGGTACAGAAGTTATAATTGGTTGAATAGTCCCAGGTTGTCCATCAGGCCCTTCACAAAGCAAAATATAACTGCTTTGATAGACTTCAGGGGGTTTACCAACTCCAACTACATTAAATTGAGTGGGTTGAACTGGCCACTCAGACAGCCAATACTGCAGAGAAATAATTGAAATGTCCACTCCTGTATCTACCAAACCTTTAAATTTCTTTCCCTGAATAGTTATTTCAGACGTAGGTTGTTTATCAGTAATTGATTCACCCAATAAGCTGCTTTGCCTTATTTGTGCTTCCAAATCCTCCTGTTCATTTAATTTCACTTTTTTCCATTTCCACATACGGCACAATCAGGAGCTGTGCTATGTGCTCTCCTGGCTCTGCTTTCCAGGGAACAGAAGTAGATACAACAATTTGAATTTCCCCTTTGTAATCTGAATCAATGATTCCTGTTTGTACTTGTACCCCTTTTAAGTTTAAACTAGACCTTCCTAGAAGTAATCCTATCATCCCTGCTGGCAAGGGTCCATAGACCCCTGTTGGGACCTTTTGCGTGGGTTCCCCAGACAGAAGACTCACAGCTTTTGTGCAGCATAAATCTACTGCAGCACTACCAGCTGTGGTGGGGGACAGACATTGTACAGGGGTGAGGGAATGGCCTGAGCTGGAAATGCCCTGGTTTCTAATGGGGCCTGAGACGGGCCCCTCATGGCATTTCCCGAAATCAGGGTCCCAACTTTATCAATTAGAGTGACATTGATTACCCAATGTTTTCCTTTTTTACATTTTGGACATACTTCAGGCTCAGCAGTTTTCTTTTTTTCCCTATCTGCCTGCCTGACTTGCTGATTTTTTCTACATTCTTTTTTAATATGACCATGCTTCCAGCAGTTAAAATAAGCTCCAGGAAATGGAGTATTTCCTTTATCCACTCTCAGTCCTGCCTTTGCCTGTGCCAACAAAGTAGCTTTATGCTGATTACCTCCAATACCATCACAGACCTTGATATAATCAACTAAATGTGCCTTCCCTCTAATAGGTCCCAGAGCAGCCTGGCAATTGGGATTAGCATTGTTGAAAACTAATAACTGCAACACTATATCCTGAGCAGCCGAATCTGCAATTACCTTTTTAAGAGACTCCTGTAACTGAGCTATAAAATCCATGTATGGTTCTTTTGGTCCCTGTTTCATAGCACTAAAGGAAGGGTATTGTTCTCCACCTGAAGTGATTTTTTCCCAAGCTTGAATGTACACTCCTCTAAGCTGCTCTATGGCATCATCCTGCATGACCACTCGTGCATCTAAACCAGCCCAGCCACTGAACCCCAAAAGTTGGTCTGCAGTTATATTAATTTAAGGTTGGGTCTGGGCAATGTGAGAAGGCTGAATGGAAGCTTCATCTGCCACCAAGTTTTAAATTGTAAGAACTGAGCAGGAGTTAAACAAGCTCGAGTAAGAGCATCCCAGTCAGTAGGAATAATCCAACTGGAAATAACAACATTCTTTAACAGTCCCATTACAAAAGGAGAACCTGGTCCATATTCATTAATAGCTTTTTAAAATTCTTTAAGTAATTGAAAGGGAAAAGACTCAAATGTGGCTATATTTCCCTGTTGATCTGGGGGGTGTATTCTAACAGATAACTGCCAAGCCTCTAAATCACCCTCTCATCTAGCTTGCTGAATTCCTGCCTGAATAGAACTGAGAGCAGTTGCTCAAGGTGCTGCTTGAACAGTCACTGGGGCAACTACTTTTTTCCCAGTGTCCTCCAGAAAAGAAAGATCTGGAGGGTCAGGCCACTCTTTTTCTTCAAAATAATGAGGGGGTGCAGAAGCATAGAGATGAATCTCTTCCTCTTTTGCTGCTTTAGCTTTAGCTGGCAAACAAACCTGCTCTGTCATGTCTTCTGTTACTTTGTTATACTCTCCTTCCTCATCATAATCAGTGTGAAAAGGTTCTGAGGTGGAACAAACCAGAGCCCACACTTGTCCCATTGTTACCCTGATGCTTCTGAGCTCCCCTTCTTATTTACCATGGGGATTGCTTTAAAGAGTACTCAGATGTCCTACAGCTTAGTTCCACATTCTCCAACCGTCGCTCCAGTGACCCTTCGACCTGGGTTCGAGCCCCAACATATGGACACCACTTGCTGAGACCAACTTGGTCATGGAGACCCTAACCCAGGAGCGCTAGAGGAATTAAACACACACACACAGAAATATAGAGGGTGGAGTGGGAAATTAGGGGGCTGACAGCCTTCAGAGCTGACAGCTGTGAACAGAGTTTTACCCACATATTTATTGACAGCAAGCCAGTGATAGGCATTGTTTCTATAGATTGTAGATTAAAAGCATTCCTTACAAGAAACAAAGGGATGGGCCAAAGTAAAGGGATGGGTCTGTCTAGTTATCTGCAGCAGGAGCATGTCCTTAAGGCACAGATCACTCATGCTATTGTTTGTGGTTTAAGAACACCTTTAAGCAGTTTTCTGCCCTGGGTGGGCCAGGTGTTCCTTGCCCTAATTCTGGTAAACCCACAATCTTCCAGGGTGGACATCATGGTCGTCACTAACATGTCACAGTGCTGCAGAGATTTTTTTTATGGCCAGTGTTGGGGCCAGTTTATGGCCAGATTTGGGGGCCTATTCCCAACAGCAAAGCATTTTGGAGATTTCTCAAAGAACTGTGAGTTGAACCTACCATTTGACTGTGCAATGCCATTACTGGGTATATACCCAAAGGAAAATAATTTGTTCTACTAAAAAGAGTCATGTACTCATACGCTCATTGCTGCACTATTCACAATAGCAAAGACATGGAATGAACCCAGGTGCTCATCAGTGGTGGATTAGATAAGGAAAATGTGGTATATGTACACCATGGAGTACTATGCAGCCTTAAAGAAGAATGAAACCATGTCTTTTGCAGCTGGTAACCATTATCCTAAGTGAACTAACATAGAAACAGAAAAACAAATATTGCATGTTTTCACTTACGAGTGAGTACACATGGCATAAAAATGGGAACAATAGGCACTGGGGAATACAAGAGGTGGGAGAAAGGGAAGAGGATAAGTGGCAAAACATACCACTTATTGGATACTATGCTAACAACCTGGGTGACAGATTCATTCATACTTCAAACCTCAGCATCATGCAATATACCTATGTAAGAAACCTGCACATGTGCCCACTAATTCTAAAAGAAAATTTAAAAAATAGGTATGTAAATATGACATAAAAGTTATCAATTTAGATACATCCAATTTGTTTATTTTTTTCTTTTGCTATTTGTGCTTTTGGTGTCATATCTATGTAGGCTAATCAAGATCACAAGGATTTATTCCTATATTTTTCTTCTAAGCATTTCATACTTATAGCTGTTACATTTATGTATATGATCTCTTTTGAGTTAGCTTTTATTTATAGTGTGAGGTTGAAGATTCAACTTCTTTCTTTTGCATGTGAGTGTCCACTGCTTTGGGCACTACTTGTTGAAGATAATACTCTTTCCCCCATTGAATGGTCTTAGCACTCTTGTCAAAAATCCGTTGACCATCAATGTATAGGTATTTTTCTGGATGCTCAATTATATTCTCAATCCATATATCTGTCTTTATGCCACTACCACACTCTGTCGATTACTAGAGCTTTGTATAAACTTCCAAAATTTTGAAGCATGACTCTTCCAACTTTGTTCTTCCTTTTGCAAGATTGTTTTAGCTATTTTGACTTTTAATATAAAGTTTAACATAAGCTTGCCAATTTCAGAATAAACACCAGCTGAGCTTATGATAGAGATTGCATTTAATCTATATATCAATTTTGGAAATATTTCCATATTAACAACATTACATTTTCCTATTTATGAATATGGCAATTTAAAAATTTTGTCATCTTTTTAAATTTCCTTCAAAAATATTTATTTCACAGTATAAGTTTTGTACCTTCTACATTAAGTTAAATTGAAGAGTTTTCTAAATTTCATTATAGAAATAATTTAGTTAAGATAAATAGAATTGTTTTCTAAATGTCCTTTAATTGTTCATCATTAGTCTAGAGAAATACAATTTTGTGTATTGATCTTATACACTGCAACATTGGTGAATTTACTTATTCTAGTAGTTTATTTTTCTGGATTCCTAAGAAACTCCATACATAACCTCATATGATCTGTAAATAGATATAATTCTAATTCTACCTTTCTAATTTATATTATTTCATTTTATTTTCTTGCCTAATTGGCCTGGTTAGGATCTCTTATACAATGATGAGTAAAAGTGGCAAGATTGGGGGTTCTTATTCCTCATCTTAAAGTGAAAGCACTCAGTATTAATTAAATATGACATCAGCTGTAGGTTCCTTAGAGATGCCCTTTATCAAGTTGAGACAGTTTCTGTTTATTTTTTAATTTGTTTTTATCATAAAAGGATGTCAGATTTTGTTAAATGTTTTTCTATGTTTATTTAGAGGGTTAAGAGGCTTTTCTCCTTTGTCTATAGATACAAGGCATTCCATGCATTTATTCTGATTGCTAACCCAACCTTTTATTTCTAAAATATATCCTACTTGGTCATGGGACAGTATTTTTTTTGTATGTTGCCCAATCTGGTGTGTTAGTATTTTGTTAATTTGTGCATATATATTCCTAAGAGTCATGGATCAGTAGTTATATTTTCTTGTAACTTGTAAGTTGTATTTTCTTTTTCCCTGGTTTTGGATCAAGGTAATACTATTCTCACAGAACTAGTTAGGTAGTTGTTTCCTTTTCTTCTATTTTTGGAAGACTTTGTACAAAAAATTGTATTAATTTATTCTTTAAATATTTGGTAGTATATACCAGTAAATCATTTTATATCTAAGCATCAGTTTATGGGAAGATTTTTTTAAATTAGTAATTCATCTTTTAATTATTATTCGTTTATTGAGATTTTTATCTTTATTTTTTGAGTGAGTTTTGGGTTTTAGTTTCTTTCTAGGAGTTTGTCTTTCAAAATTTTTATTATGATGTGTTTGTGTATGAATATGTTTTCGTTTATAATTCTCTGAGCTTGTTGAACTCTTTGGATGTGTAAATTAATGTTTTTCATCAAACTTGTGGAGTTTTCAGGTATTATTAAAAAAAAAAGTCTTTGCTGTTTTCTCCCCTCTCCTTCTATTACTCCCATTATGTGTATTTTGTTTTGCTTAATGTGTCCCACGGTTCTTTGAGTATCTGTTCATTTTTCTTTATTCTTTTTTCCACTCTTCTTTGGGTTGCACAACCTCTATTGATCTATTTTCACATTTGCCGATGTTTTTCTTCTGCCACCTTAAATCTACTCTTAGGCTATTCTGGTATATTTTTCACTGAGTTATTTTACTTTCAACTCAAGTTTTCATTTGATTGTTTTATAACTTTATATCTATTTATATTATCTATTTGATGCTTGATTATCATAAAACATTCTCTTTGATTCTTTAGCATGGGATTCTTTAGTTCTTCAAAAATATTTATAATAGCTGTTTTGAGGTACTATATTTGTTTGTTTAACCTGATATCTAAGTCTTCTTGCATGCAGCTTTTGTTGTTTGCTCCCTACTCTACCTGTAAGGGTCACACTTTCCTTTATATTTAGTAATTTTATATTGAAAACTAGGCATTTTAAATAATATATTGTAGAAACATACCTCATGCCTTTCAGGGACTTGTTGTTTTTAATTTATCTATTTATTGATTTTGCTGAACAATTTTGTGGAAATCTATTTCATCAACAATGTGAAGCCTGCCCATATCAGGAAGATATTATAGATATTATAGTTCTTGACTGGGTGCTGGGGCACAGGGAGCCTTTTTTTTTTGGCAATATCCAAAGTGGACCAACCATCATGCTGAACTGGTTGGGGTACACAAGGAAGGAGAGGGTTGCGGCTCAATTACCAGAGATGCTTAATGATCTCATTGAGATTTAGTAGAATTTCCTGAATAAATGTTACTTCATCTCTTGTAGACCCTTAGGACAATTTCCAGGTACATGAAATGGTTGTGTATGTTTTTTTTTTTTAAACAATTTTCACCAGTTTTTCCCAGCAACATTTATTCAATAGGGAATCATTTCCCCATTGCTTGTTTTTGTCAGTTTTGTCAAAGATCAGATGGTTGAAGATATGTGGCATTATTTCTGAGGGCTCCGTTCTGTTCCATTGGTCTGTATCTCTGTTTTGGTACCAGTGCCATGCTGTTTTGGTTACTGTAGCCTTGTAGTATAATTTGAAGTCAGGTAGTGTGATGCCTCCAGCTTTGTTCTTTTGGCTTAGGATTGACTTGGCAATGTGAGCTCTTTTTTGGTTTCATATGAACTTTAAAGTAGTTTTTTCCAGTTCTGTGAAGAAAGTCATTGGTAGCTTGATGGGGATGGCATTGAATCTATAAATTACCTTGGGCAGTATGGCCATTTTCACGATATTAATTCTTCCTACCCTTGAGAATGGAATGTTGTTCCATTTGTTTGTATGCTCTTTTATTTCATTGAGCAGTGGTTTGTAGTTCTCCTTGAAGAGGTCCTTCACATCCCTTGTAAGTTGGATTCCTAGGTATTTTATTCTCTTTGAAGCAATTGTGAATGGGAGTTCACTCATGATTTGGCTCTCTGTTTGTCTGTTATTGGTGTATAAGAATGCTTGTGATTTTTTTACATTGATTTTGTATCCTGAGACTTTGCTGAAGTTGCCTATCAGTTTAAGGAGATTTTGGGCTGAGACGATGGGGTTTTCTAGAGATAAAATCATGTCATCTGCAAACAGGGACAATTTGACTTCCTCTTTTCCTAATTGAATACCCTCTATTTCCTTCTCCTGCCTGATTGCCCTGGCCAGAACTTCCAACACTATGCTGAATAGGACTGGTGAGAGAGGGCATCCCTGTCTCGTGCCAGTTTTCAAAGGGAATGCTTCCAGTTTTTGCCCATTCAGTATGATATTGTCTGTGGGTTTGTCATAGATAGCTCTTATTATTTTGAGATACGTCCCATGAATACCTAATTTATTGAGAGTTTTTAGCATGAAGCGTTGTTGAATTTTGACAAAGGCCTTTTCTGCATCTATTGAGGTAATCATATGGTTTTTGTCGTTGGTTCTGTTTACATGCTGGATTACATTTATTGATTTGCATATGTTGAACCAGCCTTCCTCAAACAAATTTACAAGAAAAAAACAAACAACCCCATCAACAAGTGGGTGAAGGCTATGAACAGACAATTCTCAAAAGAAGACATTTATGCAGCCAAAAGACACATGAAAAAATGCTCATCATCACTGGCCATTAGAGAAATGCAAATCAAAACCACAATGAGATACCATCTCACACCAGTTAGAATGGCAATGATTAAATAGTCAGGAAACAACAGGTGCTGGAGAGGATGTGGAGAAATAGGAACACTTTTACACTGTTGGTGGGACTGTAAACTAGTTCAACCATTGTGGAAGTCAGTGTGGTGATTCCTCAGGGATCTAGAACTAGAAATACCATTTGACCCAGCCATGCCATTACTGGGTATATACCCAAGGGATTATAATTCATGCTGCTATAAAGACACATGCACACGTATGTTTATTGTGGCACTATTCACAATAGCAAAGACTTGGAACCAACCCAAATGTCCATCAATGGTAGAATGGATTAAGAAAATGTGGCACATATACACCATGGAATACTATGCAGCCATAAACAATGATGAGTTCATGTCCTTTGTAGGGACATGGATGAAGCTGGAGACCATCATTCTCAGCAAACTATCGCAAGGACAAAAAACCAAACACTGCATGTTCTCACTCACAGGTGGGAATTGAACAATGAGAACACATGGACACAGGAAGGGGAACATCACACACTGGGGCCTGTTGTGGGGTGGGGGGAGGAGGGAGGGATAGAATTAGGAAATATACCTAATGTTAAATGACGAGTTAATGGGTGCAGCACACCAACATGGCACATGTGTACATATGTAACTAACCTGCACGTTGTGCACATGTACCCTAAAACTTAAAGTATAATAAAAAAATTCAAAAATACAAAAATAAAGTATGAGAACAAAATAAAGACATTTTACCAATGCAAAAAAATAAAAAAAAATTAAAAAATTAAAAAACATAAAAAAATTGGATTTTAATCATCCTGAAATATTTTGTAATTATCTTGTTAAACTCTTTCACTGTGTTTTCCTAGTTCCACTGTGATATTCCTAGTTTTACATTTTCCTAAGTCACTATTTCTCATACAGGGATAATTTTGTCCCTCTAGAGACATTGTCAATAACTGAAGGCATTGTTGATTGTCATGAGTCGGGTAGTTATAAACCTAAAGAGACATTTCTCAAAAGAAAAAATACAAACGGCAAATAGGTAAATGACAAAGTGCTTTACATTTCTATTCATCAAGGAAATGTATATTTAAACCATAATGAAAGATTACCTCACATCTGTTAGAATGGCTGTTTTCCGAAAGACAAAAGACAACAGTGTTGGTGAGAATGTAGAGAAAGGGGAATCCTTGTACACTGTTGTTAGGAATCTAAGCTAATACAGCCATTATGGAAAACAGTATGGAGTTTCATCAGAAAACTAAAAATAGAATTACCATATGTCTTAATCCTTTTGAGCTGCAAGAACTGAATACCACAGACTAGCTAATTTATAATGAACAGAAACTTATTGGCTCACAGTTTTAGGGCCTGGCAAGTCCAATTTCAATGTGTCAGTAGGTCTGGTGTCTGATAAGAGCCTCGTCTCTGCTTCCAGTCTAGTGCCTTGGATACTGCATCCTCTGGAGAGGAGAAACACTCTTCTTTACATAGCAGAAGAGCAGAAAAGCTAAGAGGGAATGAGATAAGGAGAAAGAGAGAGAGAAGGAGACAGAGAGAGAGAGAGAGAACCCATTCCTAAAATCCCCTTTCTAAAAGATATTAAACCCACTCATGATGGAAGGGCTCTCATGGGTTAATTACCTCTCAAAAGTTTTACTTCTTAATGCAATTACAATGACAATTAAATTTCAACATGCATTTTGGAGGGGACAAGCTTTCAAACAATTTCTCAGTATATTTCAAAAGGAAGTAGATTCAGTATGTCAAAGAGATCTCTGTACTTCTATTTCCGTTGCAGTCTTTTTCACAATAGCTATGTTATGGAAGAAACTCAGTGTCCACCAGACAGAGGAGCCCCACCTGACATCCCTGCAAAGGCAATCGCCCAGTTAACTAGACCTACAATAAGCTCTGCCTGCCCAGAGTCATCACTAGCTGGCCCCTCCAGAGTCACAGCCTAAAGAAAGAGTGAAAGTCTATTTTTGCCAAAGAAAACCTGTATAGTCCAGAACAGGGAGCTGTGTCCTCAAATGCACAGACAACAATACAAGGACAGGAAGATTATGAAAAATTAGAAAATAATGACGCCTCCAAAAGGAACTGAAAATATTCTATCTATAGATTTTAAAAATGGTGATCTATGTGCTCACTAACAAATAATTCCGAATAATTCTCTTTAAAATGTTCAGTAAACTACAAGAATACATAAATAGATTCAATGAAATTGTTAAACAATACCCAAAGTGAAAAATTTGTCAAGAAAATAGAAGCAATAAAGGAGAAGCAAATATAAATCCTAGAGATAAAAAATACAATGATGGAACCAAAAAATTTAATAGAAATCTTCAATGGCAGACGTAACCAAGCAGAAGAAAGAATCAGTGAGCTGAAAGAATATTTAAAGTTAACCAGAGGAGTAAAAAGACAAAATGATTGCAAAGAATCAAGAAAGCCTACAGAAATTATGAGACACCATGAAGAGTCCAAACCTTCACATAATAAGAGGTATAGAGAAGAAGGAAGCAAAAAAGAGCACTAGAAAGTATATTTAAAGAAATAATGATTGAAAATTTTCTTAATTTGATGTTAGACACCAACATACAGGTATAGGAAGTGCAGAGCTCTCTAAATTTAACCCAAAGAGAAGTTTATAAAGACACATAGTAATCAAAGTACCAATATCAAAGACAAAAAAATTCTGAAAGCAGCAAGAGACAAATGCGCATTACATATAAATTAGTGCCAATATGACTATCAGATCTCTCAGCAGAAACCCTACTGGCCAGGAGAGAGTGGGATGATATAGTTAAAGAGCTGAATGAAAAAAAATTACTAACCAAGAATATTCTATCTAGCAAAGCCGTTTTTCAGAAATAAGAGACAAAGAAAAACTTTTCCAGACAAACAAAAGCTAAGGGAGCTTTTCACTGCCAGAGCTGTTTTACATGAATTGCTAAACGGAGTTATTTAAACTAAAACAGAAGTTTCTAATTAATAACATAAAGCATAAGAAATCACAGAATTCAATGGTATAAGTAAAACAGAGACATATTTAGAATACAGTAGGACTTTAATGACGGTAAAACAATTTTATTCCTAGAACAAGGGCTAATATAACAACTATTTAAAAAAAAACTACAGCTAATATTACCCAAGGATACATTTTATAAATGATGGAAATTCTGTCATCAAAAACACAAATGGAGGAGGGAATAAATGTTTAGGGTTGTATACATTCAAAGTTAGCTTGTTATTGGCTTTTAATAGACTGTTATAAGATGGTCTATGTAAGCTGCATGATAATGACAAAGCAAAACACTTAATAAAAGCACAAAATAAAAATAGAAATGATTCAAAGCATATCACTATAAAAACCCATCAGACCACAAAGGAAGACAGCAAGAATGAAAGGAATAAACAAAGTGTCTATAAAACGACCAGAAAACTGTGAACAAAATGGCAGTAAGTCCTTACCTATCAATAACTACCTTTAATGTAAATGCATTTAATTATTCAATAAAAAGACATAGAGTGACAATAGCTAAAAGAATTGGCTGGGTGCGGTGGCTCACTCCTGTAATCCCAGCACTGTGGGAGGCCAAGGAAGAGGGATCACCTGAGGTCAGGAGCTCAAGACCAGCCTGGCCAACATGACAAAACAGTGTCTCCACTAAAATTACAAAAATTATCCGGCCATGTTCTCACATGCCTGTAGTCCCAGCTACTCAGGAGGCTGAGGCACAAGAATTGCTTGAACCCGGGAGGCAGAGGTTACTGTGAGCCGATATTGCACCACTGCACTCCAGCCTGGGCGACAGAGTGAGACAACATCTCAAAAAAAGAAAAAAGAAAAGAATCAAGAGCTACTTATATATTGCCTATAAGAGATTCACTTCACTTTTAAGAACATACATACACTGAAAGTGAAAGAAAGAAAAAAATATATTCCATGCTAATAAAAACTAAAAGAGAGCATGGATAGTCATACTTATATCAATGTAGACTGTAAGTCAGAAACTGTAAAAAGAAACTTAGAAACTTATTACATAATGATAAAAAACAAATTTATCAAATAAATATTACAATTGTAAATATATCTTCCTACAACATTGGAGCATCTAAATATATAAAACAAATTTTAAAGGATTTTAAGAGAGACGTAGATTGCAATACAATAGTAGGGGACTTCAATATTACTCTTTCAACAATGGACATATTATCCACAGAGTAAATCAAGGAGAAAATATTAGATGTAAACCAAAATATTAAAAATAGACCTAACAAACATGTACAGAATATTCCATTTAACAACAACAAAGTACACATTCTTCTTAAGTGCACACACACAAAACATTTTCCAGGATAGACATGTTATGACACAAAACAAAATTTAGCAAATTTAAGAAGACTGAAATCACAACAAACATGTTTTGCAATAATAATGGTATAAAACTAGAAATAAAATACAGTAAAAATTATGGAAAAATCACAAATACATGAAAGTTAGACCACATGTGCACGAAAAACCAATGGGTCAATGAAGAAATTAGAAGGGAAATTTAGAAACATCTTCAGACAAACAAATATAAAAACAACATGTTTCCAAACTTGGTGGAGATAGTGGACACAAAAAATAGAGTTAAAAAAATGAATAAGACCTATTCTTTGACAGCACAACAGGGTGACTATAGTCAATAATAACTTAATTGTATTTTTTAAATAAAGAGTGTAATTGGATTGTTTGTAGCTCAAAAGGTAAATGCTTGAAGGCATGGATATCCCATTTTCTATGATGTGCTTATTTCACATTACATGCCTATATCAAAACATCTCATGTACCTCATAAATACATACACCTACTATGTGCCCACTATTTAAAATTAAAAAAAATAGAGAAAAAGCCAATATGTTCCAAAACTTATGAAGTGCAGCAAAGAGAAAATTTTATACCAATAAATGCCTACATTAAAAATGATTCACAAATAAACTACTTAATGTTAGTTCTCAAGGAAATAGAAAAAGAAGAAAAAACTAAGCCCAAAGTTACCAGGCAGACGTGAATAATAAAGATCAGAGCAGAAAAAAATGAAATCAAGACTAGAAAAATCATACCAAAGATCAACAAAAGTAAGAGTTAGTGTTTTTAAAAAATAAAATCAACAAACGTTTAACAAAATTAATAAGACAGAAGACACAAATAAGATCAGAAATGAAAGATAGGACATTACAACTAATATCATGGAAATACAAAAGATCACAAAATACTACTTGGACAATTACACCTCACAAATTAGATAACCTAAGGGAAATGAATACATTCCTAGACACATAAAACCTACCAAGATTAAATCATGAAGAAATAGAAAAGTTGAACAGACCAATAATGAATAAGAAGATTTGAATTATTAAAAAAGTTTCCCATCAAACAAAAGCCCAGTATCTGGTGGTTTCACTGCTGAATTCTACAGAACATTTCAGGAAAAACTAATACTAATCCTTCTCAAATTTTTCCAAAAATTGAAAAGTAGGGAATATTTTCTGATTCATTTTACCATGCCAGCATTGCCCTGATACCACAGCCAGACAAGCACATCACAAAAAAAGAAAACTACAGGCCAATAGCCTTGATGATGAACATAAATGGAAAAATTCTCAGCAAAATACCAGCAAACCTAATTAAACAACACATGAAAAAAATAATCCATCATGATAAGTGGGATTTATCTCTGGGATGCAGGGAAGGTTCAACATATGCAAATCAAAAATGTGATACATCAATTTAACACAATGAAGAAAAAGCATATGATCACCTCATCAGATGGAGAAAAAAACAGTTGGCAAAATTCGTTATCTTTTTATAATAAAAACTGTGACCAAATTAGATATAGAAGGAATGTACCTCAACACAATAAAGACCATATATGAGAAGCCCACAGCTAATATACTCAATGATGAAAAACTGGAAGCATTTCCTCTGAAACCCAAAACAAGACAAGGATGCCTATACTATTGCTACTTCTGTTCAACGTAGTATTGGACATACTTGAAAGAGCCACAGTAAATCCCAAACAGCCAAGGCAAACACAAGCAAAAGGAAAAAAGCTGAAAGTATCACACTATGTGATTTCAAACAATGTCATAAATCTAGAGTAATTAAAACCACATGATACTGGCAAAATTTGACATTCTAACCAATGAAATAGAAAAGAGAGTCCAAAAATGAACCCATGCATATATAGTCAATTGCATTTTAATAATGGTGCCAAAATACATAATGGAAAAAGGATAGTCTTTTTAATAAATGGTGTTGTGTATGTTGCATATCCACATGCAGAAGAAAGAAAATAAACCTTTATCTCACAACATATATAAACATAAGCTCAAAATGGACCAAAGACTTAAAGATAAGACCAGAGACATAAAACTGCTGTAAGAATACACAAAGATAAAATGACACGATATTGATTGATCTGAGCAATATATTTTTTGTGTTTGACCCAAAAGCATGGGCAACAAAAGCAAAATAGACAAATGGGATTATAGCAAACTAAAAAGCTTATGCACAGCAAAAGAAACAACAGCATGAAGAGAGAACTTATTGATTGGAAGAAAATATTTTTCAAGTTATTCATCCTATAAGGGGTTAATATCCAAAATATAGAAGGCACTCAGACAATTCAAGAGCAAGAAAACAAAAAAGAAAATTTAAAAATAGTCAAGGAACTTGAATAGACAGTCCTCAAAAAATGTACAAATGGACAAGACCTGTATAAAAAATGTTCAACACCAACTAGTCATTAAGGAAAGACAATTTTAAAACCACAGTGAAATATCATCTCACACCTGTCAGAATGGCTATTATTAACAAGACGAATGATAACCAGTGTTGGTGAGAATGTAGAGAAATGGGAACCCTTGTACACAGTTGGTAGAAATGTAAATTAGTACAATCATTATGAAAAACCATATGGAGATTCATCAAAAAACTAAACATTGAATTATCATATGACTTAACAATCCCACTTCTGGGTATTTACCCAAAAAACCTGAAATCAGTTTGCTGGAGAGATGTCTGCACACCCATGTTCATTGCAGCACTATTCACAATAGCAAAGTTCTGGAAGCAACTGAATTGTTCATTAACAGATGAATGAATAAAGAAAATGTTACATGTATGCACAATGGAGTACTATTCATCCATAAAAAATGGTATATTTTTAAATGCTCAACATCACTAATTTTTGGGGAAATGCAAATCAAAGCCACAATGAGGTATCATCTCACACCTGTTAGAATGGCTATTACCAAAAAAGACAAAAGATAACAAGTATTGGCAAGGATGCGGAGAAAACACTTTTGGTGGAAATGCAAACTGCCATAGACATATGGAAAACTGTATAGGTTTCTCACAAAACCAAAAATACTATGGTATGAGCCAGGAATCAATCTTCTGGATATTTACTCCAAATTTTTGAAATCAATTTGTCAAACTGATCTGAAATCATATGTTTGCACACCCATATTCATTGCAGCATTATTCACAATAGCCAAAATATCAGATCATTGAAAATGTCTGCCAAAAGATGAATGGATGAAGAAAATATAGTAATGTTGTGTAATGGAGTACTATTCAACTTTAGAAAAGAAGGGAATTTCATCATTTGCAACAACATGGATGGAATTGGAGAACATTATGCAAAGCAAAATCAGGCACAGAAAGACAAATTCCGCATGTTCTCACTCATATGAGGAATCTAAAAAACTCACAAAAGCAGAGACTAGAATGATGGTTACTTGTGTAAGGGAACTGGGCGGGGGGAGTGGGGAGATGATGATCAAAGCACAGAATCTCAATAAGATTGAATAAATGTATTCTTTATTTAAGACTTATTGTACAGCATGGTGAATATAGTTAATAACAGTGCATTGCACATTTCAAAATTGCTAAGAAAGTAAATTTCAAATGTTCCCACCACAAAAAGTAAATTTTTTGAGGTGATAAATATGTGAATTAGCTTGATTTAATTATTCCACATTGTATTCATAAATTGTAACATCACCTTGCACTTTATGAATGTATACAATTATAAATTGTCAACTTATAATCAAAAAGTTAACTTCTGATGGATTGCGTGTTCTGAAAATATTACTCACATATTTACAGTAGTTGATATATATATAGTGAGAGGCAGGAGTCTCAGATGGCTTCAGAGATTCCCACTTACTGGCGTACATACTCTGCTAAATCCTTTCCCTTAAATGTGAGCAGGATTTGTGAGTACAATAGTATATCACTCCTGCAATTATTTTGTTACATGGTAGGAGAGATTTTGAAGATGACTTTAAGATCCATGATTACTTGAAGATGATTTTAAGATCCATGATTACTTAAATTCATTAAAAAGGAAATTATCTCAGGTGAGGCTGACCTAATCAGCTGAGTCCTTAAAAGAGATCAGAAAGATTTGAAGCAAGATTTTCCTGCTGGCCTTGAAGAAGCATAGTCCATGTTGTGAGCTGCCTATAGAGGATTTATACTGCAAGGATCTTAACTTGGCTTCTAGAAACTGTGCATTTCCTGGTTGATGCCAGTGAGAAAACTAGGTCTCCAGTCTTATATCTAAAAATCACTGAACTTCATTAACAACCAATGATCTTGAAAGAGGATCCCAAGCCTCAGGTTACATTGCAGCCTAGTCAATATCTTGATTTTAGTCTGGTGAGACCCTGTGCAGAGCACCTAGCTAAGCCATACTCAGATTCCTGCTCCACAGAAAGTGTGAGGTAATAAATTTGTGTTGTTTTAAGCTGCTAAATTTATGTAATTTTTTTTTTATGAGGCAACATGTTCATTCATTCATTAGGGACAAAGAAAATAAAAAAAATAGTTGATCAGAGGTATCAATAAGTTTTTGGAAAATTAAAATAAGCCAATAAAAATTGGTAACTAAGGACAAAAGAAAATAAATCTAATGTACCAACAGAAGCAGGAAATGATAAGAAGACCTTATTCACCCTGCAGAGTAACAGAAAAAGAGGCAAAGGACATGGAAATGAAGGTACTGAAGGGGACTGATTGAAAGGACCTACTTTCCCTCTCATCCCTACAGAAGACCAGAGATTTATTTTCTGAAGAAATTTAATTGGAATCCTTATACTTAGGCTATTGGGAACTATAGATCTTGGGATGTGTTTTAGTACTGCATATTGGGGTTGCAGAACCATCTTCCCACTGCCACAGAGGTATACTTCAAAGACAGGTGAATGGTGGACTACATTGTTACAGAAATTGCTCAATCCCAAAAGGAAGGATATTGAAGTACTGACGTTTGGGGGTATTCCAAAGAAAAGGCCATTTTCCTGTTGCTCTATTAACATAAGTCATGTGTTAATAATTCCTACTCATGTCCTCAGAACTTTTGACAATCTCCTCTGTGCTTCAGTCTTCATTTTTCATGTGAGACCAAAAATAGAAAGATATTGAAGAAAGTTTAGGGGTAATAGGACTCCAAAAACAAACAGGAAACATGATAACAAAACTCAGTAGTGACAGCGGATATAGAAGATATAGTAATGCTTTCAAAATTATGAAAAAATAATGACTTTTTAAACTAAAATTTTATACCCATTATAAACTTAAATTAATGGTAAGGGCAAAATAACGTCATTTATCAACATTCAAGTTTTCAATCTATAGCTCTCATACACTGCTTTATGAGCTTCCTAGTGGGATAAGGTTGGAAAAAGAAAGAAGAAATATAGATAGCATTTACCCAAGAAAAAAATCAAATGCCCAGCATTTGAAACTCTATAAATTTAAAAATAAAATTCATAGTAGAAATATCATAAAGCTGTTGAAGATTAGAGAAAAATGATGATATACACATGGAAAATTAGAGATACAAAAAATAAAAAAATTGTAAGAGAAAGGAAATATAACCAATGTAAATTACCTGACTTAACAATTTTCACTATTTATGTAGTCAAAATAATGTGAATACCCATAGTATTGATTCACTCACAGTTGTGCTAAAATTACATTGAGCAATAGGGAATAAGGAGTTGAGAAGTATAATGGTGTTAATTCCTGAACTATTATAATAGAAAACAAATATGTATCTAAAACTGATAAATACAAATTTGACAATATCATCATATTTACTTATGCTTATAATGTTATCACATCAAACAGGTTTAAAAATCAAGGAACAAAAGATGTGGAAAGGAAGAGTGATAGAACAAAGAATTGCTTCTTCCTGTAATAAACTTTATAATCTACTTCATTTTCTTTAAATGTGTAATAGCATCATTTATAAACATGAAAATTATAAGAAAATGAGATTAAATACTGTTTATCATATTTAATACAATATTATCCCATGTTTGATGAAAAACTAAAGATATAACTTTTTCACACAGTTAATAAAAAGTAAAGTTGAGACACAAGTTTAAACTCATTGTTCTGCCTTTAAAGTCAGTCCTCAATTCCCTACACTATATTCCCAGTATAATAAGAGACAAGTAACAATAATACCCATTAAATGTTATGAAAGATTGTTAGTTTGAGACAAAAACATCTGTATTAGTTTTCTAGAGCTGGCACAATAAATAATCATAAATAACCTGTTTTAAAATAATAGAAAATGAATTTCTCATAGATCTGGAGGCCAGAAACAGGGTTGGTTCCTTTGAGATTCCCTGAGGCTCTGGTTCCATGCCTTTCTCTTAGCTTCTGATTTCTGCTGGCAATAGTTGGGATTTGTAGACACATCACTCCCATCTTTGCCTCAATCTTCACATCACCTCCCACTCTATGTGTCTTTCTGTCTTCTCTTCCATCTCATACAAAGATTTAGGATTGGCCTGAGTAATCTAGGATGATCTCACCTAAAGATCATTAATTCAGTTACCTCTCAAAGACATGTCTTACATAAGGTCACATTGACACATACCATGTGAACATATCTTTTGGGTAGCTACTATTCAACCCACTATAGTGTTTACATCTTATTTTTACATCCTTAGTATTGTTGATTTGTCTGTCTTGATGGACACTGCCATTGAGGTAATTGAGTTTCCTTATGTGTATTATTATACAGGATTTGCAGTTAGTATATTTTTCTCCAAGATACAGGATCCAGTATTATCTTTGAGAACAGCTAAAGTTAGAATCTGTATGATGTCATCTCAGAGTACAAAAAAAGCCATGTGATTTTATTGTCAAAAGAACAGTTCCTCCTTTGAATTACTAAAGAGCTGATTACAAAAAAAAATAAAAATTTGTAAATGTTATTTACAATTCTCTCTTGTTTTCTAATGAAGGTGGCTCCTAGGTATTCAGAGGGACTTTTTTTTTTTTTATGAAAGAGGCAATGTTTCTGAATAAGTGCATTTGGGGGAAATAAGACAGTAAAATTAGTTTGCTTTTAAAAAAAGGAGGCACAGCAAAGGCTCAGAGAAAATAAAGAGAAAGGAAGGGTGAAAAAGCAAGACTGCATGTACAAAGAGACAGGTGAAGAATGCCATGATTGTGGACAGTTAGATGCCTAGTGTGGAATTACAACAGAGAATTAAGGAAGTTTTATGTCATGGAGGAAGTAGTGTAAGTCTGCATACTTTGAAATCTCTGTTCAATCTATATTAGCTGCTGCTGCTTTATAAGATGCATTATTTTAAAGGGGGTGCCATGAAGTCCTGCTTCAAAGTTGGTTTGGAAGAAAATAGAGGCTGCCAATGGGACATGGATTGCACTTAAAATTAAAGTTTATATTTCCCATAGATGGTTAAATAAATCCAACCAGTTGTTTTACACTTAAGATTTGATTTTGCTGACAATTGGAAGGGGGTGTCGAGGGCACTACTCATGCTCTCAATGGGGATAAAACAGAAGGAGGAAAGAGTAAAAAAGAATGAGTCATCTCATGGCATAACTGGATATTTTATTCAGAAATATACCTGGAAAATACCCCTTGTTACAAATATGAAACCGACATATTATATATTGCATCATTTGACTTCTCTAGGCAAATTCCTTCAACCATGAGGATTAGTGTATACTCTGTGATCAAGTAACAGACATAATAGGAATAACTTCTATCTCTTGAAATTGCAATATTGTATGTATCAGTCCTCATGGAGTACTAAAATTTATCTTTTGATTAAAATAAACCATAAGGGAAATCTGTAAGTTCTATGAAATGTATGTTGGGGATATTATGAAACTTTTGAAAAGCCTGAGACTTTGATTTAACAAAGCATTTTATTGTTTCCTATGGCTCTAAACTAACATAAAAATAATTATCTTAAGCATGGTATATAAGAATGTATAATAAGGAAAGTGTAATAAAGAAAAAATAGGTATGTTGGGGAAAAAGCACATTTGGGAATAATGGTTTCCAAGTTGTGACTTCTGGAATGTTTTATTGCAAAAAGCCTGTCTCTTTTAGGTAGCCAATCGTGATTGTGTTAAGGGCGACTTATTTGTTGTTACTTACAATAGTGAAAGTTCCATTCACTATTGGGTTTGATCCTGACCCTACTATTTACTAAAGTGTATGATCATGTGAGGTTATATAACAACTCTAGATCTCAATGTGCTTATCTGTATAAAAAGAGTAACTGTACCAATCATATAGGGTTTTGTAAGGAATAGATACAGCTGAGGTGAAAACAATATAATATGAAGTAGCAGACATTACAAACATACAAATAGGCAATAAAAATAGTATATGTGAATTACTCTGATAAAGAAGATACAAATACAAGCAAAGCCTAAAGAGGGACTTCTAATCAAGACTTGGGAATATCCTTAAAAGAAGAGAAACCAGAGAAAATTTTCTGAAGAATCTAGTACTTGAATGAGTAACAGGGAATTGAGTAGCTAGGTGAGAGGGCAGGAAGTCGCCCTGTAAAGTGATCAGAGATGGGGTAGTTCTGAGATGGAAGAAAACAAAATATTGATTATAATAATTATCTATATTTTTCTTTGGCATTCATAATGTGACTTAGCTATTTAATATCTGTGTTTCCTGGTGTATTGTGAGTTTCATTAGAAAAGTAACTCATATGTCTTGTCCATCACAGAAAAAAAAAATGGCACCCAGTAAATTTTTCTGGTATATTTGGCAATCAAACACTATTTACATTGTCGTCAAATACTTTACTGTCTAGAATATATTTTGAGAAAAATGAATCGAATCTATTTTGATCACCTTTCATCACATAAAAATTTATAAGTGAAGTGGTTTTAAAATAAATTTGGTGCTTCAATTTTCAGTCTTTATATTTTGTCCAGTGACCTCCTTTCTTTTAGAGAAGAAATGTGATCTAACTAAACTAATATTCTGAAAAGTTTGTTAAATTTATTCCCATTAAAGAATACATGAAAGATTGAAATTTTAAGGGGTGTTATTTAGTGAAAAATAAAATATAATATTTTAAAATTCTACAATATCAGCTATAAACTGTTTTTTGATAAGGCAAGGAAAGCACACTCCTTTGCTTCTTATTGTAATAAAGTTTATTTGATTTTTTTCCTTTTATTAGAAGTTAAGAGTTCATAAAAGGGGGGGGAACTGTACAAAGAAAGGTTATATTGTGTTATCTTTGCAAAAGAATAATCCATAAAAACGTCATGTGTTTTATTTTATTTGTTAATATGTTATTGGTGCTAACTTACTTATGATCTTATACTATGGGAACTCCTGTAGTTTTGTGTTTTGTTTCATTTTAAAAAGGGTATACTAGTTTCCATAACTGTAAGAAACAGAGACTTCAGATTTTCCTAAAAACACTAGATTTAATAAGAAAAATTTAGAGATTTAAATTGGAACTTTGTGTTTAAAAATAGTAACAATTCTTCACTATCTGTTTTAATTTTAAACTCTCTAAGTTTATTGCCCTAAGTTTGTGTTGTACATTTATTTTACTGACTCTATTTTTTATTGTAAAAATTACTCAGGGCTTTGGGAGGCTGAGGTAGAAGGATTGCTTGAGGCCACAAGTTTTAGACCAGCCTGTGCAACACAGCAAGACCTTGTCTCTACAAAAAATAAAAATTAAAATTAAAAAAAAAAACCAATTAGCCAATGTGGTGGCACATGCTTGTAGCCCTAGCTCCTTGAGAGGCTAAGGTGGGAGGATTGCTTGAGCAGAGTTAGAGGTTATGATGAGCTCTCTTCTGGCTACTGCATACGAGTCTAGGTGACAGAGCAAGACCCTGTCTTACAATAAATAAATAAATAAATAAACAGATTATGGAATAGCTCAAAGTCTTAAAGACTTTTAGGTATCAGGTGCCTTTGCTACTTCTGCTGGCTTGAGTTTCCTAGTGAGACTGCACAGTTGTTGCTGTGCGTACGTGCGTGCGTGTGTGTGTGTGCCTATGCGTATGTGATTTAGTAAGCAATTTCATCAAAATCTTAGAGATAATAAAATATTAAGATTCATACTGTAGCAACAAATTTATCAGTGTAAATAAACAGATGCATTTCTTTTAAAACACATCTTGTCAAAACTGACATAAGAAGAAATAAAAAATTTGATTAGATTCAACTTCATTTAAGTAATTTAATCTGTTACAAAACTGTCTTACAAAGAAAACTCTGGATTGGATTCAGATGGATTATAGGGTGAGTTTTATCACAAAGTAAAGCTTGACATAGTAGATCTTACAAAACTTTCAGAAAATAAAGGAGAGAACACATGCTAACTTGTTCTATGAGGATGGAATGACCCTGGTACCAAAACTTGAGGATTATATCACAAGAAAAATACAGACCAATATCACTCTGAAAAATAGACACTGTTTTTGCAAAATATCAGAAAATCAAATGCAACTATATGTAAATATCATATAATAATATATAATTTATCATATATTTAATAATTTATCATGACCAAGTTGAAATGTAATATTTTCTGTGTTTATTTGCTGTTTTTGGTAACATTTGAAAAATTTTCTTACTACATTAGTAGTTTAAAGAAGAAAAACTACTAGATCATGTGAGTACATATAGATAAATTCACTTTAGTTTATGTTTAAAAATAGCATTATTCTATTCTTACGAAGTTTAAGTCAAAATAATAGTATTACAAATCAGAATAAGATTGCCTTAAGAAGAGGGAACTTACTGAAATAGTCATAATGGGCCATTCTGGTATGATGGAAATATTACTTATATTGATTAATGCAGTGGTTTATTAAAATGAAATTATAACCTTCAGGATGTGCAGCTTATACAAATTTCACCTTAATTTAAAAATATAAAATTAATGAATACAAAATAATTACAAAAATTCTGCACTATTTTTAATCACCTTTCGGATTCTGATTTCCTATGTTGTAATAAAAATGACAATGTTTATAAAAGTTCTTTGTAAGTTATAAAGTATTCAAAGTTGTTTAGCATTTTATCTCATTGCTATGTTTTATCAAGGTAATCAAATTTTATTAAGGACTTTTAGCTTATTCAAATATTTGCATTCTTGATGCATTTGGTAAATAACTTCAAACTTCTTTCCTATCTGTAACTGTGTGTATCATTAAAACTTTTCATATTCTTTAAATGTACAGTTGCTTTTAGAGTGTAACTTTAAGAGTTCTATATCTTGATCTTAGCACATACATTTATAAAAATTTCATAAATCGTATGAATTCATAAAAAATTAAATTTTTCCTTAGATGAAAGTTATCATTTCTTTTAAAATGATTATTACTTTCAAAATCTATTATACTGCCTGTCTGAACAGTGGGTTTTGTTGCTCTGAATATGGAGTTACATAAGCATTGTAATAAAAATATTTTTCAGAATTTTTAAATGTGGATTTTCAATAATTATTAAACCACAGATAATTGGGAGATACTGGGTTGTATATACTGGGGTTGGTATAAATTTGTAACAAAATTTATGGAATCAAGTAGAATTGAATTTTTATCTCTTTTTGAATAAATGTTAAAAACATTTATTCTCGCTTGTAATCCCAGCACTTTGGGAGGCCAAGGTGGGTGGATCACGAGGTCAGGAGATCGAGACCATCCTGGCTAACACGGTGAAACCCCGTCTCTACTAAAAATACAAAAAAAAAAAAAAAAAAAAAAATTAGCCTGGCGTGGTGGCGGGTGCCTGTAGTTCCAGCTACTCGGGAAGCTGAGGCAGGAGAATAGCGTGAACCTGGGAGGTGGAGCTTGCAGTGAGCAGAGATCACGCCACTGCACTCCAGCCCAGGCGACAGAACGAGACTCCGTCTCAAAAAAAAAAAGAAAAGAAAAAGAAAAAAAACTAAATTTATTCTTTGAGTAGCTCTGGCTGTGAACAATATCCCCCAAATTGTTTTTCTCATCTCCTTTTCCACTCAATAGCATTACTTGCCTAAGTTAATTCTACTTAAGCTATTTAAGAACATTGTAAAATGTGAATATGAGAAGTCTCTGTTTCAGATGGAAGATAAACTATGTTTGTAATCTTAAGGCAAATCATTTACAGTAAAATATAATGTAATTCAATAAGCATATAATAATTTAAGAATGTCTATTGCAAACATAATTTTTTCACTCTATTTTAAAAGTTTTATTTATCTATTGCATTTTTAAATTCGTTGAGCTGGAAATACCATAGAACATTTGTCCTAATAGTTAAATTTATTTTCTTTTAATATCTTCTGTTCACAACAAGTAAATGCTTATTGAAATACATTTTCCAAATGGAAACTTGAATATATTTTATTGAATTGTACATTTATATATGTTTTTAAAAGTCCATATTATTACCAAAATGTTCCTTATAAATATAGATTATTATTGATGTGTATTTCATATTGTACACCCAAGATAAATTTGATAGTTTATAACCAGATACATTCTATTAATGTGTTCTCTATAATCTTCTACTTTGGTTCTAATTAAATTCTACAAAAGCAAGAAGAGGATGTTAATAAGCAAATAGAGTAATACAGTGAAGATTTCTGAAAAAAAAGGTTGTCTTATTTTCCCTTGAATATATTATTAATGCATATAAATGTTGGAGAAAATCATATTACTACCTAATATTGAAAAGACAAAAGATATTTTACTTCTGAGAAACCTTTTTACTGTCATTTTTATTTACTTTCAATTAAAAGAAATTAAGTAGAGAAGAGGAAACACTATGACCTGTGGTAGATTGATTGCAAAAATGGAATTTATTCTGCAGTCTTCTCTGATTCCTCATTTTGGGACATTCTTAGTCTTCTGCTCCATACATCATAAGGCAGATTCTATTTTCCTGCTCCTTGAATTTGATTTTTCCTGTGGCTTGCTATAGCTAATAGGGTGTGGAGGAAATAACATGGTGCCACTTACAATAATAGGCCTAAAAAGACTTCGGAACCCTTCCTCTCCCATGAGTACAAGTTGATGTAAATCTATAGGAGGATGACAGACCACAGGAAGCAGAGCTAGTCATCTCAACCTAGGCCGTCCTAAATTAGTGAGACGCGAGCAGAGCCATTATCTGTTAACAGAGGAATGAATGAGCCCAGCCAAATCAAGGAAGCCTGCCCATATTAGTTAAAATTTCCAGAGTATCTGTATCTCATGAGGGAAAATAAGTGGTTGTTAAGTTACTAATTTTATAGTAGTTTGTTAGGCAACAACAGGTAATTGATATACCATCATGTAATTAAATGTACTACAATAATTCTACTTCATTCAAAAAGTGAGTCACATAAATCTCTATCTTGAAGTTTTAAAAAAGATTGTATAGTTCTGTTTTTCATCTGCAACTGATTTTTTATACAAGCTATAGTAGGAATTAATTTCTTAATGCAACTATAAGTTTTCCAAGCATGAATTACTTTGGAATCCATTATTTTCTCCACTGAACTGCAATTTCTACAATACCCCCATCCCTTATTATAAACCAAGTTATCATATATATATATATATATATACATACACACACACACACACTCATATACATATATCATGAGTATTGATGTGTATTTCATGTTGTATACCCAAGATAAATTTGATAGTTTATAACCAGATACATTCTGTTAATGTGTTCTCTATAATCTTATACTTTGTCTTTTTGAACATTGAGTGTAATATTTTATACAGGTTTTTATGTAGATACAGTTTATCAGATTTGGATAGTTTCCTTCCATTCCCAGCTTAAAAGTTTTGATCATGAATTTGATCATATATCATGAGTATATGTATATAAGTGTGTGTGTGTGTATATGTATAAAGTAAGAAGGACACACACTTATATACATATACTCATGATATATGTATATGAGTGTGTGTGTATATGTGTGTATATATATGTATATATATGTCTGGATTCTATAAAGTTTTTTATTGTCCTTTTTACTTACTTCTGTGCCACTGCTACATACCTTAAATACTAGAGGTCTTTATAGATGTTGATATCTAGTAGGAGAAGTTCCCCAAAATTAGTTCTTTTTCTTTAGAATTACCTCAGTAATATTTAATCTTTTGCTCCTCCCTGTAAATTTTGGAATCCTATTATTGAATTTTGTGAAGGACCTTGTTGAAACTTTCTAATTTGAAAATGTAAATTAATTTTGATAGTATGATAACTCCATGGAATTGGATATTTTTGTTCAAGAAATTTCCATTTCCATTTATTTAAATCATTTTTTATGTCTTTGAAAAAAAAGTTAGTTTACTGCTAAAACATAATTCATACTTTTACTGGAATTATTCTGAGATGCTATACATTTTAACTACTGAATTACAAGTATTTTTGTATTATATTTGCTAAGTGAGTATTATTGTGAAAGCATATTAGTCAGAGTTTATCAGAGAAACAGAACCAATAGAATATATAATAAATAAGAGATTTATTATAAGGAAATAGCCCATATAATTATGGAGACTGTAAAGTCAAACAATCTGCAAGCCAGAGATCCAACAAATCTAGTGATATAGTTCAAAAGCCTGAGAACAAGAGGGCTGATGGTATAAATTGCAGTCCAAGTCTAAAGGCCTAAGAATTAAGAACATCAAAGGCAGGAGAAGATTGATGTCCCAACTAAAGCAGTCAAGCAGAGAGTGTGTAAGTCTACTCTTCCTGCGTAGTTTTGTTCTACTGAGGTCCTCAATGAATTGAATGATGCCCACCCACATTGGGGAGGTCAATCTGTTTTACTCAAGTCCACCAATTCAAATGCCAGTCTCACCTGGAACTCTGTCCTCACAGATACTCCCAGAAATGATGCTTAATTAGATATCTAGCCATTCCATGGTCCAGTTAAGTTGATATATAAAGTTAACCATCACAGAAAAAACACAATTAAAACTTTTAAATTCAATTTTAAAATTTACACCAGCAAAATTGCCAGATTTTTTTATTTCTGTAAATTCTCTAGATTCTGTTCAAATATTTATTTAGATGATTGTGAAATCCAAATAATAGCTGTTTTTCTTCTCATTCCACATATATATATTTATTCTCTTATATTTAAATATATAAAATACATATATAAGCCCATTCATATATGTGTATACATATGTATATATGGAATGAAAATATAACTATATATATTTGCTGTTACTGGTTATTACATCGCTAGGTAGGACTTTCAAGAGTATGCTGAATAAGCATAGTGTTAGTAAACATCCTTGTCTTTTTCAACATTGAGTGTAAAATTTTATACAGGTTTTTATGTAGGTACATTTTATCAGATTTGGATAGTTTCCTTCCATTCCCAGCTTAAGAGTTTTGATCATGAAAACTGTTGAATTTTATTGTATGCTTATTCTGCAATTACCAAAATAATTATATGTTGGCTTTGATTTGGGAACAGTTTCTTTAGGATTTTTGCATCTATGTTTATGATTGAGATAGATTGTAATTTTTTCATAGGTCTCATTCAGATTGTGAAATTAAGATTAGCCTCATATAATGCATTTAAGATGGATTTTCCCTTTCACTTTTCTTGGGAAATAATAGTAAAAAGAAAAAAACTTTTTGACACTTGATTATTTAGTATTGGTCTCCTAAAAAGTCATGTAGGACTGCTTTGTTTTGAGGACTAGATTTTTTAACTATTATTTAAATGTAGTGATTACAGATACCCTCATATTTCCTATTTCTTCTGAAGTAATATTTCTTAATATGTTCTACAATTGTTCATTTTTAGTATTCAATTTAGTTTTATATAGTTTTAATTTTATTTTTTCTAATTTATTATATTCCAGTATTAGTGATACCTCTATTACATTCCTAGTACTTTTAAAGTTTGCTTTCTTTCTTTTCCTTAGCATAGTACAGAAGCTTGCCAATGTTATTACTGTTTCACATAATTTTTTTTATCTCCTCGATTTTTCTGTTTATTCATTTATTTTCTTATATTTCTTCTTCTTCTTCCACTTTCTTTGAGGTTATTTTGTTGTTATATGTGTGTATACAATATATATTTATGCATGCATCTATACATGCATATATTTATACATGTATACATATAATATATATATTTAATGCATATATACACAAATATACATACATACAAGTGTATGCACACATATAGAGAGCATATGTACTTCCTAAAATGTATTTGTAATACCAAAATCCGCACTTGTGGAACTTTTGTAGTCATTCAAGCGCATGCACAGAGTAGTGAAAAATTTCAATCACTCAACATACACATTCCTAGATGAAGTTAAAGAAGATACTCTGCCTTCTTGTTTAAATTTTCATACTGTAAGCAGGTGTCTTTTATGTGACCTATAGAATGCCATGTTTTTTTATATTTTTGTGCTTTTAATTGGTTAGTTCATCACTGTTTAAGTGGCCGCCAGGCATAGAGTTGAGTTGCTGTCTAGTGTTTGTAGGCACAAGAAGATTGTGATGTGCCTTGTAGGGAAAAATACTTGTGTTACATAAGGCTTGAATTATAGTGCTATTGGTTGTGAGTTCAATGTTAATCAATCAAAAATATATATTAAGTAAACAGAAGCACACATAAATAAAGCTCTCTACTAATCAGTAGATGAAAATATGACCAGAATCTCTCATCATGAACCTACCTCTGTACTTTTCCCAGGAGCAATGCTTCAGTATTTGCTAATTTAGTGATCACACCACCATGAAAATATTAGAATCAACTATACTCTTACATTTATGCACACATACATGTGTGTATTACATACATCTAATTTCTAGTTATCTCTATTGCCTTAATTTCCACATAATTAGGATTAACTTTGTATGTCTTTTGTAATACTCTAAGAATTTATTTTATTTTATATCTTATTTATTTTTTCACCTTATTATTGGTTTACTTAGACTTCACCTTGACTTAGAAAAGAGTGAAGGCAATTTACATAAATGTATACATAATAATATAAAACTAAAAATAAGGGAAACAACTCAGGGGTGTATAAATGCTGATCCTTTAATAGTATTCATGCCTTTTGACTTAATAACGTTGTTAGAAATGGAAAAATAACTAGTGAGTACTAGGTGTAATAACTAGGTGATGATAATTTATTACATAAAATATTTAACAAACATGTTAAGAATGTTAAGTTTTAAGCTAGCTAATTTGAATATCTTTTGCAAAGTATCATTTTGGCTAATTTTGATAGAAAAAAAATAACAATTTTGAAGATGTCCTCATCCTTTATGAGCTTTTTTCACATTCTTTTATTTTTTTTTCAAGTTCTATATGTAATATCTATACTAAGTTTCTATTGAGAATTTTGGATTTATATCAGACTTATGATTCTAACTATATTGCTTAGTGTAAGAAACCTTATTTAGTCTATCCATTTCTGAGTGCCTTATTATAAATTGAACTATAAATTGATTATGAAATACCATAAGAAACATTTATTTGTGGTTGTGATAAGATTTGGGGAAGTGGCACTAAATTCACACTTCTCTTCCTTAGTATATATGCATTTTTACCTTGTCTTTCTGACCACAAACCTCAGAGTATTTGAATGTTGCTTTTTCATTTCAGTGATCCTGCAGGTCAGAACAAGTCTTACTTCATATCTTATACAACAACTTTGGGAGAACTGAGATACCAAATTACCTTCCAAATTATACTTTAGTGCAGGAGGTAAGAAGTGAAAAGGACTAATCTGGCATTACAGGAGGTGTGTGATGTAGCATTTTCTCCCTTGTCACTCTGTTGCATTTCATCTTTTAGATATCGATGGCATTTGTTCACTTCATGTTATATCTTTTGTCATCAGGCTTTTGAGACAATTATGATGCCTGTGGATTAATCACCTAAGGTTTTCCAGTTTATTTTATAATTTATGGTGATATCTGAAAGGTGATAATTAAAAATCTAATCATATTCGATGTCTAAAATAGACTCTACAAAATAATGGCAAGTTGTTTTGCTAGTTTCCACTGTCTGTACTTCAGGAGATAGTTTCAGGATTTCAGATCAGATTTGGTTTGTCAAAAAAATTTCAATATTGTTATTATCCCCATTGTCCTCTTTCCATTCGTGATTTAAAGAAATACAGTAATATATTTTATTTTCATTTACCTAACATAATGGGTAGAAAGCAATTTTATACAGTATTAGTTAATTGTCATGGAAACAGATTTTCTTTAACCCATACATAAGGGCATTTAAAAGATGAAAAGAAGTGTAGAAAGCCTGAAAAACTGTTTCGTCTACTGATAATGCAGCAAGTTATAGCCTGAATGACATTTTCTTGGGTTATTTGGATATAGTGTTTGTATTCTTAGAAGATTGGAAATATGTTGTTAGCCACATCATGGAAGTGTTTTCCACATCTATCCTTGTTATTGTTTTTAAGTATTTAAAAATGTTATTTTTAGTTAAGAGATTATTTTTTGTTAGAGTTTCAACCTTTTTGTTCTGATTAAATTAATTAAGTTTTCATTTAGAAGCTATACTGGAAAGTGGTCAGTTGTAAACAAAAGAATGCGTTATAGTCTGTTTAAGCTAAGAAATGACTTAATACAGGAAGTTATGTGGTTAAATAGTTGTTGGAATGTCAAAAGTCAGTATCTAGGCTAAGGTTTTAGGAAAATTTTTAGCACCCAGATATATTCTGGCTCTGCCAAAATCAGTAAAACTGCTCCATCACTGCAGAAAATGATGAATCAAGAATCTGCTAGCTTCAGACCATTCCACCACAGCCATGATCTGTGTTAGCCAAATGGATGTTCTATATTCTTAGCTTTCTTTTACCTGACCTAAATCTTGAAAATGCATCTGATTGCTATACAGTACATTATATTCAAAACTCTAGATGAAAAGAAATCTTTGGTGTGCACTTTTTCCTGTCTGTAATCTGCTCCTGAGATATTGCAGGAATAGATGTTGGATGAGCCAATTCCCAGTATTTGCCACAGTCGACAGCTATTCAACAACCACACATAGCACGCATACTCTGCTTCTTGTGCTTACAAACTGAACAACAATTACAGCAACAGCCTACTACCAACTAAACTAACATCAGCAGTTCACTGAATGTTCTTATCCTATTCTTCAGGGGAGACAACTCATCTGTCACATTTATATATCTGGGTGTTTTTAATTCTCCATTTATTTCAGTCACAATCCTCAATTTTTTGCAATCTATGAAATAAAAGTTAAATTTAAATACCACTAGCCCATCCTATATAGAATAATACTGTAAAATGGGAAGGGAAAAGAAAGAATTAGTAAAATTATATAATTATATACTAAAATTACAAAACAGTGGGTAGTTCATATGGTCTTCGTTTTCACAACAACCATGAGACCATAATTTGCATGTATGATAATTTTTTTGCACATGTTCCATGCATTTTTTTTGTCCCCACTCAGAATCTTTGCTGAACTGGGTTCTTTATCTCACTAAATGACCTAGGTTATTTTATATTGATATCATATTAATAGGTTTTACCATTAGGTAGAGAGCTAATAGTTCCCCCTCCATGCTCCCTTTGTGTAGGAGGAACCTCACTTTTCTGTGATGATCTGAATAATTCTCCCCACGAACACATCAACTTTTTTTGTTTCTTGTTTGCTCTAATAGCCCCTATACCATAGTGCTGCATCAGGGGCTTAGCACTTGTCTGATCTGTAGGTTGGCACACTGAAATATCAGTTTTGGCACTAGTGTAACCTATCTTGATGAAGAGAAGGTTCTGTAAAGTCCAAGTATAAATCTCTACCCCTGCCAGCATGTCCTCTTTTTCTCTGAGCTCCTTTAGTGACCTGGGAAGCTGTAGAGAGAAGAAGAAGAATTTCCACAGAGGTCTACTCAAATATCTTAAGTGTTTTTCTAAGGTGAGAATTCACACAAGACACAACTTCTCACACTCATCCTATTTGGAGTGTCCTATCAGCACAGCTTCTCCTTTTCACTCATCTTTCAGTCATGTTCTTTCCAGGTCTTTGTCTATAAAGCCTAATTATAAACATATGCTCATGAAATCAGAAAAGTTCCATACATCTAACCACTTATCTTTCTAGGAAAAGTGAATAATTGTATGTTCTGCTTGAAATTCTGCCCTTTGGAAATATTTCCTTCCCTCTCAGTTTCCCAGCATCACCTTCAGTGGGATTATAATGCTACACAACCATGCTTTAGTATTTTCTTACCCACTGTGGCAGGTTCCATTTTTAGCTTCAATTTTAATTCTTCACTGCTTCATGAACAAGATTCATGGCCATGTTACTTTTTAAATTACTCTCACTAAGCCATCAGAGTATGAGTCTTTACTCATTTTCTTAGATCTTTCTTTGTGTCTTTGCCCAATAGAATGCAGCTGAAGTGCTGATGTTCTAGTTCTGACCAAGGTCTTACATATTTCCATATACTTTCTCGCACCTTTGTCATTACCATGAGGAATATGGTGAAGCTTCCCTGGACAGCGAAGCCTGAAGCTGAATGCCCCATCTAGCTGCAGTGAGAATAAAATTCACCTAACTGAGCATAGAAAACATCAGCTAAATCTCAAGACCCAAATATACAGATTTGTGTGCAATAATGAGTGATTATTATTGAAAACCACTTCATTTTAGAGTTAGATGCACCGCATTATTGTGGCAATAGCTACACAATATACTCAGTAGCAAGATGGAAGGGAAGTCTTTATGAAATCATAATCGTGAGTTAAGGAAAGGGTGTTAGTGCAGCAGGACTGAGTGAAATAAGAGTTGGGTCACTGAGTAAAAACATACTTATAAGGATAAAGTTAGATAAAATGTCAAGATTAGCAGTCTTGAAGCATTCTTCTTCATAGAAACAGCATAGCCAAGAAAAAACTGTCAGAATCAACTTTGTCGAAACCCTGGAAAGCACTCAAAGATTTAGAGCAATGCAAATAATATCAAATCGAAACAAAAATAGGCAAATTTTAAATGTAGGAACACCTTGTGGCGTTTTTATTTGACCTTTCTCTAATACTCCTTAGCTCAGTGATGGTCTTAAAGATGGCATCCTGTGTTCCCAATATGAACCCTGTTCTCTGGATCTAGAGAGAAAGAGCAGACCTTACTTAAAAAGAGCTGTATTTCTTCATTCTAACCTGCTCGATGGCTATTTGAAGGATTCATGCAAGGTACTTGTCTGTGTTTTGCCTAACTAGCAACGACGGACATAAAGACTGTGCACATTCCTCCAAAAAAAATATTAAAACTGTAAAATTGAGAAAAAAAACCCATAACGACTTGTGACAAGAGACTGTGATTGAGGCATACAGTAGAGTACTTAAAGCTTGGAAGAAAAAGCTAGGTAAAGAGTTTCTTCGGGTTATCTTGTCATTTCAAAGTGCATATATGGACTAGAGTATTAGAAAGCTATGCACATGGCCAGAATAGGACATAAGCTAAAAACAATGAGAAGACTTTATACTTTTCTGTCTGGCTGATGTCTAGTCTCAAAGCAAACCTGGCTGATCATTGAAAGAATTCCCTAGCACAGAACCCATCTTCAAAGATTGGGTGAACTTTTTTCTTCTTCTTCTTCTCTTTTTTTCTTTCTTTCTATCCCACTCTCACTCTTGCTCTTGTTCTCAATCTTTCTCATGTTTTTAATCTCATTGTGTCTTTTTTTTGCTCCTTCTTGTCAAAGAAATATCTGTCAAAACATAGTCAAACAAAATCTAAAGAGACTTCAGAGAATACACATTGCAAATAATACATAATTTACAAAAATGTCTTAGAAAAGTCACTAAACAAACAAATAATTACAGCCTATAGCAAACAATATGCCACTTCAGGAAAAAAAATTACTAAGTAGGCAAAGAAAACAGAAATGATAGTTTACTCACTGGGTAAAAGAACAGAAACTTCCCCTAAGGAAGTAGAGACATTAGATTTACTAAGATACTTTAAATAAACTATCTAAATATACTCAAAGAGTTAAAGGAAATTATGGAAAAAGAGCTAAAGAAAATCAGGGTAATTATTTAGGAACCTAATGAGAATAAAAATGAAATGATATAAATTATAAAAACTAGATGGCTAAAAAGTAGAATAACTAAAATTAATAATTCATTAAAAAAAGGATTCAGCAGCAATTTTGAACAGGCAAAACAATGAATTAGTGAACTTTAATATAGGTCATTTGAAATAATCTTATCTGAGGAACAATAAGAAATAAACAAATAAAAGTGACTGGAGCCTAATAGACCTGTTAGACATCACCAGAAGAATCAAAATATTCATATGGGAGCTCCAACAGGAGAACAGAGAAAGGGTCAGAAAGAATATATAAATAAATGTGATGAGAAATTTACCTATTAGATGAAAGAATAAATCTACACATCTAAGAGGCTCAACAAACTCCTAGTAAAGTAAATGCAAGGATATCTACACCAAGACACATTATAATTAGCCTATCAAAAGACATAGACAAATAGAATCTTGAAAGCAGCAAGAAAGAAGCAACTCGGCCGGGCATGGTGGCTCATGCCTGTAATCCCAGCATTTTGGGAGGCTGAGGTTGGTGGATCTCGAGGTCAGGAGTTCGAGACCATCCTCACCAACATGGTGAAACCCCGTCTCTACTAAAAATACAAAAATTAGCTGGGTGTGGTGGCACACGCCTATAGTCCCAGCTACTTGGGAGGCTGAAGCAAGAGAATCACTTGAACCTGAAAGGCGGAGATTGCAGTGAGGCGAGATCACACCACTGCACTCCAGCCTGGCAACAGAGTGAGACTCTGCCTCAAAAAAAAAAAAAAAAAAAAAAAAAAAGCATTCCTCATGTACAAAGAAGTTGCAATAAGATTAATGGCAGATTTATCCTGAGATGTATGAAGGCCAGAAGGTAATGAATGTATTTAAAGTGCTAAATACACTTTAAATGTATTTAAAGTGCTAAGGGAACAAAAAGAAGTCAAAAAACAATTCTACATCTTGAAAATCTGTCTTCCACAAATGAGGGGAAAAATAAGACATTTCTAGATAAAACAAAACCTAACAAAGTTTGTTAACTATAGGCTAGACAACTGGATGTTAACATGAAAAATATGAAGCTGGACTCCTACTTTACACCCCACACAAAATTAACTCAAAATGGATCAGCAGCCTATATGTAAGAGCTAAATCTATAAAACTCCAAGACGAAGACATGGGGGTAAACCCTCATGGCCTAGAATTTGGGAATAAATTGTTAGACATAATACCAAATACATAAACAACAACAAAAAAACAGATTCTACAAAAATTAAAAATCTCTGGATATTAAAATACATTATCTACAAAGAAAAAAAGCAACCTGTAGAATGGAAGAAAATATTTGTAAATTACTTATATAATAAAGGCCTAGTATCTAGAATATATAAATACATTTATAAGTCAAAACACAAAGGCAACACCATTAAAAAATGGGCAAAGTCCTTAAATAGACACTTCCCAAACAAGATATATAAATGGCCAAAAAGCACAAAAAAAGACTGTCACCATCATTAGTAATTAGAGAAAAGTGAATCAAAGCCACAATGAAGTATCACATTACACTGATTTGTATGACAGTAAAATTAAAGAAAAAAATAAACTAGTGTTGGTGAGGATGAGGAGAAATTGTAACCCTCATAAATTTCTGGAGGGAATATAAAATGGTTTAGTCAATGTGGAAAACAATTTGGTGGCTCCCCAAAAAGTTAAACATAAAACCACCAAGGTATCCTGTAGTTTTACTTCTAAGTGTATGCAATGAACATTTATAGAATGATTACTCCCCATAGCCACAAGGTGGAAGCAACCCAAGTGTCCATCAACAGATAAAGAAAATGAAGTATATACATACAATGCAACATTGTTAAGCAATAAAAAGGAATGAAATTCTGATATATGCTACAACGAAGATGTACCTAGAAAACACTGTGTTGAGTGAAAACAGCCAAACACAAGAAGACAGATATTATATTATTCTGCTTATATGAAATATCTAGAATTAGTTAAATTCATAAAGACAGAGAGTAGACTGGATGCTGCAAGAGGTTTAGAAGAGGATATCATAATGAGTTTTCACTTAATGCGGACAAAGTTTCCATTTTAAGTCATGAAATATTTTGACAAATTGATAGTGGTGACGTTTGCATAACATTGTGAATGTAATTAATGCCACTAAATTTTACCCTTGGTAATGAGGAAAATGGCAAATTTTATGTAAAATAAATAAATAAAGTGAAGCAAACAAAAATATGTCTGAATATATGTTTACTGCAGATATCTGGTAATAAAGCTGTACTTGTAATGAAATTCTGATAACCTTTTTTGGAAAAAGCTACTAATCAAACTTTGGAATCTATTGATATCAGGAAACATTTGGAGGCTAGTCTAATCCAAACTGTCTTCTTTTTGTTTTCCAAATAAGACTTCGGATTCGTGAGCATCCTTGTATTAAGAATTATTGTGTAGTTTTAGTAAAAATTACACTAAGAAGCTCATCATACATATTCCCAGTCTGATTACTCCAAATTAAGGTATCCTATACAATACTTAGCACCGATATTAAAGAGATAATTTAGGAGTTTGAAATTCCATCTCCATGACTTCTCTTAGTAAGCCAAAACTGGAACACTATTATCAACTTTATTGTAAATATTAAAATAGTTTTGATCAAAATATTTAAGAAATTATTTTTAGGTGGTCATAGAAACTCCCTGCTTTTTTGAACTTTCTTAGGATTGAAACATAAAGATATGACTTTCTTTCTTTAAGCTCTATAGCACAATCATAAGAAGCTTCCAAACACAGAGTCAGTATATTCATTGTCAATCTTATTCTATTTTGGTAGCCTCATGATCCATCAAAACCTTGACTTCAATAGGTATTTCATACCAACTAGCAGTTGTTACTGTAAGTAATTGATTCCCTGGTCTGTGATATGATATCATAAAATTATGTCCCATCTGCTAATATTAACTTGATTTTCATTAGTATCAAACCAATCAGATCAAAGAAGCAACCACAGCTTCTTCTTTTTCTAAAGCTGAGTGGCCACAAACATTTTTCATACCACTGTGTGGTTTAGATTATGCAGAAAGTATTAATAGGAGGATATAAAATTATTGAAGGGGCTAGAGGAGCAAGTTCTAGACTGAACTTACTTGAAGCTAAGTTAAGCCAGTCCTTTTGCTACTGCCACATATGGGAAAGCTGCTGCTGCTACTTTAGGAACAACCTATGCAAGAGAGTGAGGCTATCACCATTGCAGCCAGACATGTGATCTAGAAAAATAATGTCATTGCTGTAGTAAGCTGTGGATTCAGGAAGCTTCTAACTTCAGAACTATTCCATAACTGTTTGGACCAAATTTAGTAAAATAAATATTCTTCACCCTTTCTCTCTTTCACATACCTTAATTCTGAATTGGTAGAACTGGATTCAGAATTCAAATTTTAAGGAGATTGAAAAGAATATTGAGCAAATGCTATGGTTTGAATGTGTCCCACAAATTTTATGTGTTTGAAACTTAATCCCCAAATTCATATGTTGATGATATTTGGAGGTGGGGCCTTTGGGAGGTATTTAGAATTAGATAAGGTCATCAGGGTGGGGCTCCCACATGGGACTGGCAGCTTTATAAGAGGAGGAAGAATGACCTAGGCTAACATGTTCTTGTCCTCTTGTTATGTGATTCCCTGTATCATGTTATGTCACAGCAGGAAGGCCCTGACAAGATGCCAACACCATGCTCCTGGACATAGCCTCCAGAACTGTAAAAAATAAATTTGTTTCTTTTATAAATTACCAGTCTCAAGTATTCTGTACAAAATAAGACAACAAGTTTATACTCCACATAGGAAAAGAACACAAACATGTTTTGCATTTGTTTGCCATTTCTTTGAAAAGATGTAGGACCAACTGATTTTGATAAAAGAAATCCTAGTCAATGCTAAAGAAAGGTTTTCATGAACTGTCTGAATTTGAAATCAAAGGTCTACAGGAGATAGGGCTATTACACATATTGAAGGGTAACTTCAACAGTTAGGAGATGCAAAATTTCTTTCCTTAAGTGGGTAGCACATTTAGCACATTTGATTTGGTGTTTTTGTTTGTTTGTTTTTAACATGGCCATAACCATTTGACTATATTAAATTCCACCCTAGAAATTCAATTCAACATAGAAATTTGAGCAATATTCTATAGTTAGATTTCTAAGCCCTGATTATATTTGGAGCATTGTCTACAGTTTAGATGCTCCCTCCAAAAATTCCTACTGCTGTTCAGGGAGAATATTTATGAACGTCTAAGTTCAAATGCATTATCCTTATTTCTCATTAATTGGCCTTTCTACACATAGCTCCAGAAAATTCTGATCTGTACAATGCATTAGCACCAAAATTTTATCACCATGGTTTCTTCTGTCATGCAGTCTAAATCATTCATAGTCATTTTGATTATTATTAATTTGAGATAAAACTGGGATAATTAGAATAGTTACAATATTTTCTTACACAGATAATAAGAACCACTGAAATTCAATGGCATCAGGAAAAATATCATAAGCTTCATTAATAGATGCAGTTCTGCCATTATTTTTGTTGATGTATTTTAAATGTGTTTTGAAGGAATGATGTTCTTAAATATCGTTGGTATTTGTACGTGCTGCAATGAAAACCATTTCATTTTTCATGGGTGACTATCTGAAAATTGATCATGTACATTCTCAGAGTGCCTAAGGCCATTTGTTTTCCTATTTTCTTTCTACATAAGGTTTAGAAACCTTGGTAAATTAGCATCATCATTAAATTGTGTCTCATCACAAATGGAATCCTTAGTATTAGTGTGTTAGCCATTGATCCTTAAGTTAAGCTGTATTTGCATTTTCAAAAAACAGAGTTAAACTATTATTTTGCCATTTTAAGCTTTCAACCAGGAATGTAAAACTATGTGGAAAAAAACTCTTTTTATGGTGTTCTTGCCACTGAAATCTCAATTTCAACAGACTGGTATTTATTTCAAAATATTTTCCTGCAACATGGTTCAGAGAATTATCATGATAATATGATGTTGAATCCATATATCTTACTCTAAACTTTATCTATTAAAATTTTATTTTAAACTTACAAAAGGGAGAAAAGAAAAGAGAGGGGTGAAGATTGAGAGAAACAGAAAACATAAAAAGATAATGCTAAATCAAAGAATTTTCATATAATTTTAAATTAATATGGGAAATGAAAATGACAGTGATATTTAAAGAAAATTGCAACTGGAGATAATGTACATGATAACCTACTTACGATTCCTTTGTTTCTACAAATCTTTTTTTAGAAGCTTACAGAAGATCATGTAAGAAAAACGTTCTCTTTTTTTTATCACATGGAATATTTTCTGTGCTTTAAACTATCTCATTTACTTCATCAATCTTCATCTAAGGGAAAATTCTAAGTGTAATGTGTCATAGAATTTAAAATAATACTTTAAAAAGTGAAAGTATTTTTGACATGTGATGAAACAAAACATATGTGATTAAAGATAACATTTCAAAATATTATTACTACCATAGATATATAGAATTTGAACATAATAGAAAATCAGTATAGGAATAATGAAATTAGGATCTGGTTGAATCCTTTCACACTGAAAAATCCCTGAAAGTGTTACATATGAACTTTCTTCTTTAGTTAGTAAACATTTATATAATAAATTATGGTTTTGGCCAGGTTCAGTGGTTCACGCCTGTAATTCCAGCACTTTAGGAGGCCAAGGCAGGCAGATCATGAGGTCAGGAGATCAAGACCATCCAGGCCAACATGGTGAAACCCTGTCTCTACTAAAATACAAAAAATTAGCCAGGCATGGTACATGTGCATGTAGGCCCAGTGACTCAGGAGGCTGAAGCAGGGGAATTGCTTGAACCCAGGAGGAAGAAGTTGCAGTGAGCCAAGATTGCACAACAGCACTCCAGCCTGGTGACAGAGGAAGACTCCATCTCAAAAACAAAAGCAAAAGCAAAAGCAAACAAACAAACAAACAAAAATTATGTTTATACAGTAGAGAAAGAGTTGGAACTATACTGAAGGAAAGGTAAAGTTAGATAGTTGTTCCATGATCCTAGAATTAGTTTCTTTTGGTCATTCTTTTTGTTTTGTTTGTTTCTTAGTGTGGCTACACCTTATTATGAAGCATTCACTATTAGATGCTTTATATGCAGTATGAAAAAAGCGGGAAATCAAAAAATACATACACTACGTTATCCACATAGAGATATTTTTGATATATTTCATATCCATCAGAAGACAATGTTGTGGACAATTGTTGATTCATCAGACAGCTTACTTCAAAAGATTTAGAAGGAAGGGGAACTGATCCAGCCTCTTGGAGGACAACCTGTATCCGACTCATGACTGGCAATAAAAACTGGTAGTTAAACTTAGGACAAAATAGATTGCCTTCAACATTTCTTAGTTTGAGTAGAAATAACTGGATGTAAAAAACTGACTTCTGATTAATTAAAGGCAAAAATGAAAGGTAAAACTACCAAATTAGTAGAAGAAACTTTAGAATATCTTTGTGACCTGGAGTGGAGAAGAACTTCAAAAATTAAATTTCAGAAATAAATAATAAGGCATTATAAAAAAAAGTTTAAATCAAAATATGGGAAATGAAAATGACAGAGATATTTAAAGGAGATAATGTACATGTTAATCTACTTATGATTCCTTTGTGTCTACAAATTTTTTAGAAGCTTACAGAAGATTATGTAAGAAAAGATTTTATATTCAACACAGTATAGCATAGACTAATTTATTTGGCAGACGATCAACTGGGGATAATATTTGCAATGTCTAAAACAGAATATTTGTGTTGCTTCTACAAATTAAACTGAAAATTTCAACTGTCAGAAAAATTGGCAAATGTTATGAATAGCTAATTTATGGAAAAGGAAATCCTGAAGGCTAACATGCAGATGAATAAATGCTCAAATTAATTGTAAATTTCATCTATAATGAAATTTTACTTTTGTGTATTAGACACAAAATAGAGAGCTGGGTAATGCCAAGTATTGGTGAAAATACTAGAATATAGGAAGTCACGTGATGCTGGTAAGAGTGCGGATTGCTGCAGCCATTCTGCAGAACTATAAAACACAACTCACATGTAGTATTTACATATTTTATGGCACAGAAGTCTACTCTTGGGTATATATCCCAAGAAATGATCACATAGGGCCATAAAAGGCACATACCAGTAATAAAGACGGGGCAGAGAAATTCTAGTCAGACAGAGTGGGTCCCTGGCAAAGCCCCACCCCAAGCCAAAAAGCCTGACACCACTGCCCAAAGTGAAAACTTATCATCCCTGTTTTCCTGATCAAATGTTGTCTTTTCCAAAACCACTTATGGCCCTGCCCCTCCTTCCATCCTGTGACTATACAAACTCCAGACTCAGCCGGCAGAGACAGGAGAGGCAGCTGAACGTCGGAAACTATGGCTGGAAGTCGGAGAGAAGCAACTTGACTTCAGAGGGACAGATTGATGGCGTAATTTCGGAGAAGAATCCAGCTGGAGATGGCCGGACTTCAGAGGAAGACTACCTTCTTGTCCCATTTTCTTTTCAGCTCCCATTCTCGCTGAGAGCCACTTTCATTGGCAATAACATCTCCTGCACTTCATTAGTGTAACCTCATTTCTCCTGGACACCGGACAAGAGCTCAGGAGCCACGGCTGTGGATACAAAAGGCTATCACATTGGCCTTTTACACTTGCTGGAGGAAGACAGTCGCCTCACACGAAAAGGCAGAGGGTCCACTGAGCTGTTAACACTTAAGTCATCTGTGGACACCAGAGCTAAAAGAGCACTGTAACACCACCTCTGGGGCTTCAGGGGTTACAGGCACTCCCCTAGACGCTTCCATGGGGCCCAAAAGGAGTTTGCTCCTTCTGGTGCCCAAAAGCGCTTGCCCTGGCTCCTGCACCCGCTCACCTGCACACTTCCTCCAGCAAGGGGTAGAATGCAGTGGGTCCGAAGCAGCTGGCTGATTCCTGCATTCATGCACTCCAGTTCCTGCCTTGTTCACTTGCATGCTCCGTCCTTTGAAGAGTTGAAAGCTGCAGGCTGGGTAAACAAGGCACCCTTGTTGCAATTCTAACGAAGGGGTCAGGGAAATATCCTGCTTCACTAGGATGCACATTTTGTCATTGTGATGGCGACACAACCAATGTGGCCATCCGTGGGAGAGAGGTGAGATAAAATGTGAGAGTGAAAAGTTTGAAGTTTTTAATAGATGTACACATGGCTCCAATTATTACTATGAAAACATTTTTGTTTATTCAAAGTAGCAAATAGCAATGTGATACATAACTAATTCAATTTACATAAATAAATATATATTTGTACCAAACAACATTGTCTGGTTTCTATAGACATAAAACAAATATTATGTGGCAACAGATGAGATTAGTTGGGTTTATCTATTGGTGTGAGTTTTTGAACGTATTTCTATTAGCTGAAATAATGTTCCTGCCTCCTAATCTGATTTAAACCTCCAACTTCTTTGATAACAATACATATAAAGGTTTGTTTCTAATAGCAGCATATTCTTTCTATTCTGTCACATTTTATAATTTCTTTCATAACTAATCTTTTTTTTTTTTTTTTTTTTTTTGAGAACGAATCTCGCTCTGTCGCCCAGGCTGGAGTGCAGTGGCGCAATCTTGGTTTACTGCAAGCTCCACCTCCAGGGTTCACGCCATTCTCCTGCCTCAGCCTCAGGAGTAGCTGGGACTACAGGTGCTCGCCACCACGCCTGGCTAATTTTTATATTTTTAGTAGAGACGGGGTTTCACCACATTAGCCAGGATGGTCTCGATCTCCTGACCTCGTGATCCGCCCACCTCAGCCTCTCCATGGTATACTGGACATTGTGGAAGATATATTGTAGAGGCTGGATTTTGTTATCCTCCTCTGAAAAGTATTAATTTTTGTTGTAAGAGGCAATTACCTTCAGTGGGCTCATATTCTAAACTGTCTCTCCATGATGGGGGCAGCAGCCAAAATCTCCATTGAATTCTTTCAGCCAGTCAGCTGAAACAACAGGCCTCTGGTGAAAAGCTTTGTAGAGTATGCCTAATTCATACATCAGCCAAATATTTGGATAGAAATTTGTACTCAGTTATTTGGGGTCACCGTCTCAGAGCGCTTTCATTTCTAATACATTTTTACTCACATGCTAGCTACCCAGGCAACAGTAACCTTCATTCATTGTCTCCAAATCAATAATACTGTGGCTTTTTTCTTGAGTTCCAGCTAATATTAGAAAAAATATTTAGTCCTGATTTTACAATTTCTTTTTTAAATTAATGAATTAATTAAGTTTGTTCTCATAAGTTATTTGGGGTTTGGTTAAAATGGGGTAGCATTTGGTTACATGAGTAAGTTCTTTAGTGGTGATTTGTGAGATTTTGGTGCACTCATCACCTGAGCAGTATACACTGCACCATATTTGTAGTCTTTTATCCCTCGCCCCTCTTCCACTCTTCCCCGCAAGTCCCCAAATCCATTGTATCATTCTTATGCCTTTGCATCCTCATAGCTTTGTTCCCACATATCAGTGAGAACACATGATGTTTGGTTTTCCATTCCTGAGCTAATTCACTTAGAATTATAGTCTCCAATCTCATCCTGGTCACTGAAAATGCTGTTAATTAATTCCTTTTTATTACTCCATAGTATTCCATCATACATATATACCACAGTTTCTTTATCCACTCATTGTATGATGGGCACGTGGGTTGGTTCCATGATTTTGCTATTGTGAATTGTGCCACCGTAAACATGCATGTGCAAGTATTTTTTTGAATAATGATTTCTTTTCCTTTGGGTAGATACCCAGTAGTAGAGTTGCTGGATCAAACGGTAGTTCTACTTTTAGCATCAATGATTTTGGTCTTTAGTTTTCTTTTTTAGTTATGTCCTTTCCTGGTTTTGGTATTAGGGTGATGCTGGCTTTATAAAATGAATTAGGGAGGGTTCCTTCTTTCTCTCTCTTGTGAAATAGTGTCAGATGGATTGGTACCAATTCTTTGAATATCTGGTAGAATTCTGCTGTTAATCCATATGATCCTGGACTTTTTTTTGTTGGTAATTTTTTTTTTTTTTTTTTTTTTGAGGCAGAGTCTCGCTCTGTAGCCCAGGCTGGAGTGCAGTGGTGCAATCTTGGCTCACTGCAACCTCCGCCTCCTGGGTTCAAGTGATTCTCCTGCCTCAGCCTCCTGAGTAGCTGGGACTACAGGCGCCCACCACCACCTCTGGCAAATTTTTTTGTATTTTTAATAGAGACGGGGTTTCACCATGTTAGCCAGGATGGTCTTGATCTTCTGACCTCGTGATCTGCCTGCCTCAGCCTCTCAGAGTGCTGGGATTACAGGCGTGAGCCACTGCGCCCGGCCAGTAATTTTTAAATTAGCATTTAAATCTCGCTGCTTGTTATTGATGTGTTCAGGGTATCTAATTTTTCCTGAGTTATGCTAGAAGGGTTTTTTTTTTCCAGGAATTTATACATCTTTTCTAGGTTTTCTAGTTTATGTGTGTAAAGGTGTTCATAGCAGCTGTGAATGATCTTTTGTATTTCAGTGGTGTCAGCTGTAATATCTCCTGTTTGATTTCACAGTGAGATTATTTGGATTTTCTCTCTTCTTTTCTTGGTTAATCTTGCTAATGGTCTATCAATTTTATTTATCTTTTCAAAGAAGCAGCATTTTGTTTCATTTATCTTTTGTATTTTTTGTTTGTTTATTTGTTTCTATTTCATTTAGCTCTGCTCTGATCTTGGTTATTTCCTTTCTTCTGCTGGGTTTGGGTTTGGCTTGTTCTTGTTTCTCCAGTTCCTTAAGGTGTGACCTTAGAATGTCAGTTTGTGCCCTTTTGGTCTTTTTGATGTAGGCACTAAGGGTTATGAACTTTCCTCTTAGTACTGCCTTTGCTGTATCCCAGAGGTTTTGATAGGTTGTGTCATTATTGTCATTCAGTTCGATTTAATTTCCATCTTGATTTTGTTTTTGGCCTGTTGCTCATTCAGGAGCAGGTTATGTAATTTCCATGTATTTGCATGGTTCTGAAGGTTTCCTACGGAGTTGATTTTCCAGTTTTATTCCACTGTGGTCTCAGAGAGTGCTTGATATAATTTCAATTTTCTTAAATTTATTGAGGCTCATTTTATGGCCTATAATATGGCCTATCTTGGAGAAAGTTTCATGTGCTGTTGAATAGAATGTGTATTCTGTGGTTGTTGGATGAAATGTTCTCTACATACCTGTTAAGTCCATTTATTCCAAGGTATAGTTTAAATCCATTGTTTCTTTATTGACTTTCTGTCTTGATGGCCTGTCTAGCGCTGTCAGTGGAGTATTGAAGTCCCGCACTATTATTGTGTTGCTATCTCATTTCTTAAGTCTTTCAGTAATTGTTTTATAAATTTGGGAGCTCCAATGTTAGGTGTGTATATATTTAGGGTTGTGATTTTTTCCTGCTGGACAAGGCCTTTTACCATTATATAATGTCCCTCTTTGTCTCTCTTTTTTTTGAGACGGAGTTTTGCTCTTGCTGCCCAGGCTGGAGTGCAATGGCACAATCTCGGCTCACCACAACCTCTGCTTCCCGGGTTCAAGCAATTCTCCTGCCTCAGCCTCCTGAGTAGCTGGGATTACAGGCATGCACCACCATGCCTGGCTAATTTTGTATCTTTAGTAGAGACAGGATTTCTCTATGTTGGTCAGGCTGGTCTGGAACTCCCCATATCAGGTGATCCGCCCACCTCAGCCTCCCAAAGTGCTGGGATTACAGGCATGAGACATCGTGCCCAGCCCCTCTTTGTCTTTTTTAACTGTTGTTGCTTTAAAATTTGTTTTGTCTGATACAAGAATAGCTTTCCCTGCTCACTTTTGGTGTTCATTTGCATAAAATGCCTTTTTCCACTGCTTTACTTTACGTTTACTTGAATCCTTATGTGTAAGGTGAGCCTCCTGAAGACAGCAGGTAGTTGGTTGGTGAGTTCTTATCCATTCTGCAGTTCTGTATCTTTTAAGTGGAGCATTTAGGCCATTTACATTCAATGTTAGTATTGAAATGTGAGGTACTGTTGCATTCATTGTGCTTTTTGTTGCCGTGTACTTTTGTCTTTTGTTTTTGCTTTTTAACATGTAATTTTGTTTTATAGTCTTTTGTGGTTTATGCTTTAAAGAGGTTCTATTTTGATATGTTTCCAGGATTTGTTTCAAGATTTAGAGCTCCTTTTAGCAGTTCTTGTAGTGGTGGCTTGGTAATGGCAAATTCTCTCAGCATTTGTTTGTCTGAAAACGACTGTATCTTTCCTTCACATATGATGTTTAGTTTCGCTGGATACAAAATTCTTGGGTGATAATTGTTTCATTGGAGGAGGCTGAAGATAGGGCCCCAATCTCTTCTAGCTTGCAGGGTTTCTTCTGAGAAATCTGCTGTTAATCTGATAGGTTTTCCTTTATAGGTTACTTGGTGCTTCTGTCTCACAGCTCTTAAAATTCTTTCCTTCGTCCCAACTTTGGATAACCTGATGACAATGTGCCTAGGTGCAGAACTTATTGTGATGAATTTCCCAGGTGTTCTTTGTGCTTCTTGTATTTGGATGTCTAGGTCTCTAGCAAGGTTGGGGGAGTTTTCCTCAATTCTTCCCCAGAATATGTTTTCCAAGCTTTTAGAATTCTCTTCTTCCTCAGGAACACCAACTATTCTTAAGTTTTGTCATTTAACACAATCCCAGACTTCCTGGAGACTCTGTTCATATCTCCTTATTCTTTTTTCTTTGTCTTTGTTGGATTGGGTTAACTTGAAGACCTTGTCTTCAAACTCTGAATTTCTTTCTTCTGCTTGTTCAATTCTATTGCTGAGATTTTCCAGAGCATTTCTCATTTCTAAAAGTGTGTCCAAAGTTCCCTGAATTTTTTGTTTTTTCTTTAAGCTATCTGTTTCCTTGAATATTTCTCCCTTCACTTCTTCCATCATTTTTTGGATTTCCTTGCACTGGGCTTTGCCTTTCTCTGGTCCCTCCCTGATTAGCTTAATAACTAACCTCCTGACTTCTTTTTCAGTTAAATCAGGGATTTCTTCTTGGCTTGGATCCACTGCTGGTGATCTAGTGTGATTTTTGGGGTTGTTGAAGAACTTTGTTGTGTCATATTACCAGGGTTGGTTTTCTGGTTCCGTCTCATTTGGGTAGGCTCTGTCAGAGGGAAGTTCTAGGGGTGAAGGCTCTTGTTCAGATTCTTTCATCCCACGGGCTGTTCCCTTGATGTAGTACTCTTCCTCTTTCCCTATGGATGTGGCTTCCTGTGAGCCAAACTGCACTGATTATTGTCTCTCTTCTGGGTCTAGCCACTCAGCAAGTCTACCCAGCTCTGGGCTAGTACTGGGAATTGTCTGCACAGAGTCTTGTGATATGAATGGTCTATGGGTCTCTCAGCTGTGGATACCAGCACCTGTTCCAGTGGAGGTAGCAGGGGGTGGGTGCAATGGACTCTGTGAGAGTTTTTAGGTTTGGCGGTTTAATGCTCTATTTTTGTGTGTGCTGGTTTGCCTCCTACCAGGAGGTGGAGCTTTCCAGAAAGCATCGGCTGTAGTAGTACAGAGAGGGACCAGCAGTGGGTGGGGCCCAGAACTCCCAAGATTGTATGCCTTTTGTCTTCTGCTACCATGGTGGATAGGGAAGGACCATCAGGTGGGGATGGGCTATGTGTCTGAGTTCAGACTCTCCTTGGGCGGGTCTTGCTGCTGCTGCTGCTGTGGGGGATGGAGTGAGATTCCCAGGTCACTGGAGTTGTGTATCTAGGAGGATTATGGCAGCCTCTGCTGAGTCATGTAGGTTGTCAGGGAAGTGGGGGAAAGTCGGCAGTCACAGGCCTCACACAGCTCCCACAGAAAATGAAGGGCCAGTCTCTCACAGAGCTTCCACACAAAATGAAGGGCCAGTCTCACTCCCACCATGACACCCTCAACAGCCCCTAGTCTGTTTCCAGGTGGAGGGTGTGATGGGGTTGAAAACTTGCCCTGGGCTACCCGCCTCCCAGCTGTGAGAGAAAAGGGCTTGTTTCTTCCCCGGCCTGTGGAGACTGCACACCAGATCTGCCCCCCTCCCTGGAGTTCTGGCCGGGAGGCTTCTTACCCCATTCAAATTGTTACAAAATTCAGCTAGAGATTTCTTTATCCCTGTAGAGTTTTGCCCCTGCTCCTCTGGTCAGCCACCCAATGGATCCCTGTGGTGCCAGGCAGGAATGGCCTGCTAGGGGACACAGCGAGCTCCCAGGGCCCTTCAGCTGCTTCCTCTATTCCTGTATTTCACTCGGCTCTCTTATTTGGCTCAGGTCCAAGTGAGGTCAGAAACTTCTCCCACAAACAACTTCAGCTTCTCCAGTTGGGTTGTGTGTTCTGGAGAGGAGGGTCTGCCTTTCCCACTTCCACAATTGGGGCACACACAGTATTTGGAGTGTGTTCTGGGTCCTGCAGGAGCAGTCCACTTCCTTCAGAGGGTCTGTGGGTCCTCTCGGGATTGCTGGTTTGTTCTTGCAGTCCACCTGGAGCTAAAATTCACAGTGCAAGCTACTGCATGCTGCTCTGTCTGGAGCTGCAGTCTAGTCCTGCCTCCCATCTGCCATGATGATTGATTTTACAATTTCTATTTATGGAAAGATCATTCCAATACAAACTACTCTGTCATTTGTGGCATAATACAGTATTTAATAGATAAATTAATTAATGTGAATATGAAGAAAAATTTCCAGAAAGTATTAAAAATAATTTTTCTCCTCAGGGTTATATTTATCATAACTCCCCAAAATTTTCTACATCATGAAAAATTTTATTTTGTAATATTAAACACTGTGATAAGAATCTAAAGAGGTAAAATCTGAAAATAAATTATTAAATAATATGCATAAAATCTATACTCGAATCTTAAACTGGCAAGATCCCTTTTAATATGGCTCATGTCTTATTTTAACCTCAAATTCAGTTTTACACTCTACACTCCATCCACATGGACCAAATTGCTTTGTGTATTCCCCAAAGGCACCAAACTTCCTATTCTTCAAAGGTATTATAACTTATCTAACTTCCCCTATTTATGTGCAGAAGCACACATAAGTTTGCCTTTTGAAACCCCAAGAAAGTTCAAAGAAATAAATGTAATTAGTCTTCAATTCACTTATCAAACTTATTTTGTTTTTCAGCATTCTCCTGAAATTTCACATCTTATGGAAGGCTGTCCTAATATTTTCAGACAATATTAATGTTCCCATATTACTCATTTTTCGTCTGTCAAGTTAGCACACTTACAAGTTTATTATAATCATTTTCATTATCTTCAAAATGCAGCAAAGATTTCTCATTCAGTAATTTAGCCTCAGCAAACTTTACAAATGCTCAATAAATATTTATTGAGAGAATGAATAGATAAGTGAATGGATAAATAAATAAATGGCATTTTATATCTCTCCAAGAAAAACTCCTCTAGAAAGAGGGGTTATGTGGGAATTGTGGAGACAGTAGAAATATTTAGGAGTAATAAAACATTCCTAAAATTATGCTGTCTAGGTAGGCACTTCCTAACCTCACCAAAGATTACTCTAGTTTGAAAGACAGTATAGAAAAAGAAATAATCATTTATGCACTAGTTACAAGATACAATGAACTAATTATTTGATTTGATGATTCAAACATTTAAAAATACTAATCCAATGGGATAAAAGTTTTAAATGGTCTTTCATGGACCTAGAAATCTATAATAATTATTTAAAAAGTGATATGTGTCTCACTAAGGTTTCTGAGCCATTATATCATCAATTCTCCAATATTAAAGATACTTGAATCTGAGAAACAAAGGACAAAGGACCTTTGAAGAACTAAATGAGGGATAGGAAATAGATTAACACTACTGTGAATGAAACAGATGATTTTTTTTCAAAGTAAATTTATTTTCACTACACGTAATTTATAATTCAAACTGATTTTCAAAAGACGTTAATGGCACCACAGAAGTAATATTAGAATTGAGTTAATACATAATAAACAGTGCTGCCTGATGTACATGATTTTGAAATTGATTTACTCAAATTCTAGAAAGATTAGAGTAAATATATACTCTATATTGTAGTGCTTTTCTTATGAAATTATGTTTTATACCAGAATTTAAAAAATAAAAAACAATTTGAATTGACTTTATAAGGGCCATTTTATGTAATTTATCTGAGCTTAGACGTAAAGTGGAAACCAGGGGTGACAAAATTAAAAAGCTGAAGCTTTCAAAATGAAAAAGTTTCATTTTTAATATTTGTTAAAAGTTGAAACATGATGTTTTATAGCCACCACTCATATTACATTATTGCTTACTTTACACTTGACCAACACACATTAACATAATTATTGAAGGTCTACAAACTGAAATATCCTAGATATCTTAAGTAATGGATATTGTTTTAATTTGATAATATAGAGAAAATATTCATTACATTTATTCCAAAGGAAATTAATGAAAATTATGGCATTTTAGATAATTACATTAGATCTATAACAATTTCTAAGAAGGAATTCAATTCAAAATATCTTAGTATGAGTTATCTGTTGCTGTATGACAGTTGCTACAAAGTTAGCAGCTTAAGACAACACTCATTTATTTTCTCAATGTCCGCTAGGGCAGAAGGCAGGGCAGACTCAACTGGGGGATCTCTGTTACTGGTCTCACATTGCTGATATCAGAGTGTTGGCAGGATGGACTCTGCTCTGGAGGCTCTAAGAAAGAATCCCTTTTCAGAGTCATCTAAGTTATTGGCAGAATTCAGCTCTATGACTTATAGGAGTAAAGTTCTTCTTTTCTTACTTACTGTCTGCCAGGGTATGCTCTTAGCTCGTAGAGGCCACTCTCCAGTCCTTGCTTATGGTTCTCACTATCAGATGTCAAGAATAGCATTGTCAATCTCAGGCTTCCAATTTCTCTGACTTTTCCTTTTCCAACTAGATGGAGAAAACTCTGTTTTTAAGTATTCATGCAATTTAATTAAGTCCGCTTGATAATCCAAAATAATTTCCTTATTTTAAAGTAAAAATGTAACATATTCACAAGACATAAAATATTATACTCACAGTTCCTAGTGTTATGCTGGGAAATCTTAGGGGTCTACTCCTACAGTCTTGTCTATGATCCTCACTTAGGAAAACAATTATTTAGATTTATGCTAATAAAATATGCAAATCCTATAAATTTCCCCTTAAAAATCTGAAAAGGACTTTTCTTTTGGCTCAATTTTCACTTTTAAAATGCTATTTTTCATATCATTTGTCCTGCTAAGAGAATCATTTAGAAGGAATACTCATTCAGGTAAATGAATAGCTCATGGTTTTGAAGTTTTTTTACCTAAAGATAACAGTAGAAAAGCAATGATAAGGAAATTGTTGAGGCAGGAAATTTAGATCACCATTCCCATCTAAATCAAGGAATATGTCCAAATCAGTATATGTCATGTTTCTAGTCATCAGAGAAATCAAGGGAACCCACAACAATGTCAGATAATCTCACAGAGATTTGTCGTGCAAGATGTTTTCTGACGGATGGCATCCCTGGGAGCGTATTTGATTATGTTCCTAGTATTTCACTTGTAAACAAATGTTTGTGTTGTTATCTTTAATAAGCCTCTAAGAGAAATCATAGATAATTTGGAATAGCTTTTTTAAATGGGTCAAGTCTTCCTGATAATTTCAGACATTGATAAAGACAGTTTCTTCTTTCTGATAATTAGATGTTTCCTTAAACTTGAAAAACATGCAACAAAACTTAAGAGCTAATATGATTGAAATAATGGTGATAAAATGGTCTCATAATTTAGGTATCGTTTCTGTAGATGAGAACTGCTAAGGTAGGGAGGGCTATCTATAAAATAATATGAAATGCAGCATTTAAACCAATATATGTTCTGTGGTGTCAGTGTTCTTAACAGCAGGCTAATTATGTCTTAATACTGCATGAATCATAATTTCATGGAATATGTTAATATAAAATCAAATTAGAGTAAGATTATTTCAAAATTTCAGTCTAGTGCCATTTGATACCATACTCCCTAGCTATAACTTTTCTACTATCCAGTTGAATTCTCCTTGTGAAAAAATATAATGGAAGCCCTAGCCATGTGCAACTGGAAGGATCTAAAGGTGAACTGTGCTGAGACAATACCTGTTACAAGCAGAGGGATTATCACAGGTGCCGTCTCAAGGCAACTCCACCATGCCCATCCTGTTCTGAAGGAGGCCTTTAGAAACTAGAGTTTCTGTCTTTGATTCAGGACATCTCCAAGGCAGCATTACTTCCAAGGGAAACTAGTGATTCTTCAGAGGCCAGGTGGTCAAGGAATGTGAGGCTTTGAGGTACTCAGATTTATCCCTGCTTGATTCATTTCCAGAAGGTAGAAAAAGCGACATAAACCTGTCTGAATTTCATACTGGATTTAACAAAGTGCAAGGCACACAAGAGACATACAGTTAATGTTAGGTATTGATTGGCTGAGAATCAGGCCATATTTTTAACAGAATAAACTAAGGCAAAGTATAATTATCAGACTCCCCATATCCAATAAAATGTAAATCATTAAGGAGGGACCTACTGAAGTATCATTAGGATTAAAACTATTTGCGAGGGATGAGAAATATAAAACTTATTTACTTGAAGTTACTGCTTCAAAAAATTTAAAATCATGTATCCAGCTAGAATTGGGAGAAACAAATAATATAAATGTAAACATTTTATCATTATGACTAGACAAAATTAATATTGCTTTGTATTATTATATAAATTATTTGTGATGTTTAAAACTGACAAAATTGTCATAAATAGTCGAATAATCAAAGTGTTTTCAGATTTTGGATTTCTGTCTTAAATTTGTTGGCTTGTGTCATTTCTTATGTACTAACTGTGATATAGGCACTTTAATATGGCAACATTTGTCTGAGAAGGGTCCTCCAGTAACATGGCTAAAAGCACCAATAAAGCACACACTTCATCCTGCTGTGTCTGCTGCTTCTGAGATGATGAAAGCATGTGTCATTTTTGGCTTGCTATACAGCATTAAAGACCTTGAAGACTTTTAAAGGGGATTATAAATGGTGGACTGTGGTAATACCTTTTATTAGTTTCCATTTGTTGGATTCCCTGTTATCTGTAAATGTTATTAGTGGCTCAAATGTAACATTAGTGCCAATGGGTAAAACCTTTTAAGGGGACTGACTAACTTCTGGAAGACAGGGAAATAGTTCTATCTGTAACTTTTCTTCATAAGTTAAGGTTATATTTTGTTTTTATTATCAGTCTGGTTAGTATTAAGAATATTGACTTATAAAATATTTGACTTCTAGTAAAATATTTTTATTATTTGAAATAATTTGCAGCTATCAAAAGGTACTTTCCATGTTGAAAACTGAGTCTGGTATGAGGGTGAAAATTGGGAAGAATCTGGTTATGATGTGAAAAGCTCTTGGCTTATAAACATTATCTACAGTTTCAGGTAAAAAGGCAATGGGTCAGACTAACAAGTCAAATGTCTGGGCTCTGAGCACAGCTGCTGAAGAGGAATTACTCCAGTTATTCAGTTTGGGTAATTTGGTAATGCATCTTTGGTTGTATATTTATTCATATCTTTATTCAAAAATATACAAGGTTATGTGGCAGGCAGTGAGGTTGCAGGGAGTGGGGAAAAAGTTTGTGCATTCTTAGTGACAATGGAAAAATGGACCAATAAATAAAGAATGCAATGGAGTGGGGTTTGCTATAATAGAGAATAACAAAATTGGGAGATTATTGGCTAAAACATATGTTGCTAGAAACAGAACTCACCTCTACCTAGCAAGAGAGAGTTATTCAGAAAATCCCGGTGAGGACGTGGTATTTAAGTTGAAATTAAAGTCAGGCAGAGGAAGAGTAGGGAAATAAGCTTTCTCAAAGAGAACAGTGCATGTGTGGAGACCTTAAGGCATTACAAAATAGATGTGTTGCTATTGAACAAGTGAAAGAAGACTAGTGTGATTGGATCTTCAGGAAAAATGAGGCCAGAGAGAAGATACGATATAAGACCTTGAAGGCCACCATAAAGAGTTTAGATGTTAATCTAAACACAATGAGAAGACACTGACAATTATTATCTATGTATGTCTCTTTGAAAGAATGACTTTTTCCTCAGTGAAGACTGAATTTGAGAGAAGAAAACTCATAAGCAAGGAGACAAAAGGCTGTTGCACAAGCTAGGGAAAGAATACTGATGGTACCATTCTTTCCCTAGCTTGTGCAGCAGCCTTTTTAGAGTTGGACTGATTGACAAAAGTAGATAGATATGTTACATCGTTTGGAGGTTGAATCAACAGAATTTGCTGATTAATTGGATGTAGACAATGAGGAGAAAGCAGAAATTGAGAATGGCTTGCAGTACAGCTTGAGAAATTACATGTATAAAGAGGCATTTACCAGCTGGGCACGGTGGCTCATGCCTGTAATCCCAGCACTTTGGGAGGCTGAGACGAGTGGATCACAAGGTCAGGAGATTGAGACCAGCCTGGCCAGCATGGTGAAACCCCGTTTCTACTGAAAATACAAAAATTAGCTGGGCATGGTGGTGGGCACCTGTAATCCCAGGTACTCGGGCCATTGCACTCCAGCCTGGGCAACAAGAGCAAAACTCCATCTCAAAAAAAAAAAAAAAAAAAAAAAAAAAAAAGAGACATTTACCAAGATTTGGAAAAATGCTATCAAGTACTATAATAATTGAGGTTGACACACTGAAGTTACCTGACCATTATAAATCATAGAGGATAATCGCATGAAGAAAATATTTTCATCTGTTTTAAGTATTTCATTACTTAGATTGTTACTATCAGTCTAATATGCATTATCTGCTATGTACATTTGTCATTCATTTTCCAGTCTAGTATGCACTAATTCAAAAGTATTTTTATAGAGGGGTCTCACTATATTGTCCAGGCTGGAGGGCATTGCATAGTCTTAGGAGTGATCATTGCACACTACAGGTTCAAATTCCTGTGCTCAATTAATCCTCCTGCTTCAGCCTCCATCTCAGTAGCTGACTACAGGCATATGCCAGCACTCCTGGCCAAACTATTTTTTTTAAACATGAGAAAAAGCCTGATATAAAATAAATGTGTGAGCCCTGAGTGTCACAAGAGAAATTTATACCTACCTCTCACCTATTTCTCACTCTATTTTTTCCACAAGTATGAACAAAACCTTCTTGATATTCATTGTTGTGGTTAGTATAAATTATTAAAACTGCTCAGAAACCTTGACAATGTCAAAACTCACAGCGTTAAAAATCCTGAGAAACAGGTTATATTGATAAAATATTTATGGTGAAAACTGAAGACTTTAGTAACTGGTGTCAAAATTTAATTAAACTATTTACTTTAGAATTCTCTATCTGTTTTAGCTAGCCTCCATGATGTTTGAAAAATCCTGACCTTCTGATATCCATACCTTGTACAATCAGTCTCCTCCCACTTTGTATCAGGACTGGTCGCTATGACCAAACAGAATGGCGTGTCACTTAGGGTGGGCCATTGAAGATGGTGTGGTCTTTTCCTCTCTGATTGGTTGGGAGCTCTGGGGAAATCTGGATGTCATGCAGTAAGAAGTTCATGTTTTGAAGAACTAAGGTTTCTGTAACGCAACTAATGAGAGAGAAAGGCATCTTACTAACAGCCATGTGAGTCAGGAAGTAGATCCTCCAGCCCTACATCAAACCTCTGGAAGACTGCAGCTTTGGCCAACAGCTGGCCTAAAACCTCATTAGAAACCCCGAACCCCACTCACCAACTAAGCTACTTTAAAATTCTTGTCTTCCAGGGCTATGTGATAATAAATGTTTGTGGTTTTAAGCCACAAAATGGTTTGGGTTAATTTGTAGCACTGCAACAGAAAACTAATGCACTATTTTTTTTCCTAAAAAACAGAGAAAATAAATAAATTTTACAAATCTGTGAGGATTTTTATATTTTGGATTAATTTATCAGAGAAAATATTAATATTAATTTTTATTATATTAATAATTCAGAGAAAATACTAATTGAATTCAACTATTGTTAAAATTATGTTCAATATGTCCTTTGTTTCTCTCTAAGGCTTCCTGTTAATTCTTGATTTTGTTTTGTTGCATATTGAGGGGGAAATAAAGGTGCCATGAAATCATGCTCACAGTAATAAATCACTTTTGTGGAGGGGCTGATATAGAGATTGCCTGGGAAAAATGTTTTAGGACTTTCAATAGGATGTCTGTAGCTACAATTATGAAAAGATAAAAGAAATGGACAGTGCTGCTTGGGCTCAAGAGTCATAGTCCTAAATGTCTTATTAAGGAAATTGAAGGATATGGGGTAGAGGAAGAAAATGAGGAAATAAGCAAAAAGTGTAAGGCAGTATAATGGGCTGCATGCTTGTGCCCCCCCCAAATTCATCTGTTGATACTCTAACCCCCTTGGGATGGTACCAGGAGGTGAAGCTTTGGGTAAATAATTAGGTCCTGAGGGTGAAGCTCTCATGATAGGATTAGTGACTTTAAGAGCACGAGGCGTGACAGCTTTTTTCCTCTGCCTCTTTCTCTCTCTGCAGTTCACCAAGTGAGGGCAACCCAGCCATGTTGGCACCCTGCTCTCAGATTTTTCAGCCTCCAGAACTATGAGAAATAAATTTCTTTTGTTTAAGCCATCCAGTTTATAGTATATTTGTTACAGCAGCCTGAACTAAGACTGGCAGCATTTGGAGAGTGTATCTGCTAACACCAGGTCTATGAAATGCACGGTGGGGAAATAAAAGAGAGGAGAATGAGCAATTCAGAAAAATTATGGCAAAATCTCATTGAAAAAAATCACAATGAACATTTGCACTGTAAAAGAAAATGAAAACCAATTTACCTTACTTTGACACACTGTGTTAGGCAGCTAGAGCTGCCATAATAGAATAACATACTGGGTGGCTTAAACAACAAACGTATTTTCTCACAATTCTGGCGGCTAATAGTCCAAGATCAAGGTGTTGGTGTACTTGGTTTTTCCCGAGGTCTTTCTTCTTGGCCTGCAGATAACCATCTCACTGTGTCCTCACATGGCCTTTAGTTTGTGCTTGAGCCTCGCTGGTGCCTCTCTCTGTCCTCTTCTATAAAGACAACAGTTAGATTGGATTAGGGATTCATGTAACCCTAATTACCTTTGTAAAGGCCCTATATCCAAATACAGTCACATTCTGAGGTACTGGGAATTAGGGTTCCAATGTAGGGATTTTAGGGGGACATAATTTAGTCCATAACACCCACCCTTCTCAGAGATGTGACTGCGATCATCTTTACTCAGATTAAAGAGTATCCCTGATAGCTAAGATTTCATCACATTTGTTCCAAAAGTACCTGGCTGAGAGAGAAACAAAAGTGTTCCTTACACAAAAATATTCTCTAATAAACTGATTACTTAAAGATGAATGCTACTTCAACAGTTTACCATACGTAACATGAGAATGTATCCCCATCCATCTTAATCAACACTTTGGTCCCTCTTTAAGTGAGGCCACAGTCCAGAAAAGAGAGATCACTCTGCTAGTTTCAAATAGGTGGTGTTTAATCCAGAGAAATATTTCCGAAGTTGTTGAAAGGACTTCAAAAATAAAGGAACAAAGAGGGGTCATTACAGGAAGAAAAAGAAAGAAAACTTAATAATGAGGAACTGTCGCCACTCCTACTCTAGAATCTATAAGCCTACAACTGCTGCTCTATTGGGAGATATTGTTACACTTGGATTTGGAGCCAAAAAAAAAAAAAAACAAAAAAAGAGCACAATGACCAGGGCTGGGAGTGTGAACAAGTGTGCCTCTGCCTGGGCTGCAAGAATTTGTAAATATCTTACCCTTGTTGTCTCAAGACAACCTTCAGCAACTCATACTTAGACATCAGACGGAAGTTTCTTTCTCCTTTCTGCCTTGTGATTTCCTACCACTGCTTCCTACTGGCAATGCCCAGAGGAAGCACCCAAGCAAGGGAGCCTGGGAAACATCTGAGACTCTCAGCTTAGCAGTTAGAAGTTGAGAGATAACCAGTAAATATCTAGTACAGTAGCAGCACAGTCTATGGCCAATTGTACTGTATAGTTAAACAATGCAAATACAGTGCAATCATTGCAAACAAAATAAAAATGTTGTGAGTAATACAATGACTGATTTGAATATCAGAAGATTAAGAAGACATTACAAATTAAATTAGTTTTCAGATACTTTTGTAAAATGATCCTCATAAATTTTATAAAATTCAAATGTGATGTTTAGGATGTGATATGATTGTATTTGATAATATTGGTAGAAAAACTATGTAAAAAATTAAAATACTTTTAAATAAAATTAGCACGTTATAAAACTAACTTAATTTTTGTTAAATAGATAATGGTCTTCACTGATTTTTATTATTTTTCGTTTTATTTTGTAAGATAAATGCAAATCAAGAAATTAAAGGTATTTACTGTGCAAATAAATTCCATTTTCTAAGTGGGGGATTTATTTTAATTGTACTTATCCTGCTGCCAATTTCATTCAGATAATGAGGAACTTCTGTAATGCCTATCAACACGCTACAAAAACATTTTTTACAGAACATGTTTTGTGGAAAATTAGTGTAAGAATAAGTCAGAGTTGTCAAAATGACTGCTTTTTTATGGGCTGAGGGAATTTGGTTTATTTTATGTCCAACGTGAATTTTCAGGATGGTGATTCAGGAGTGTGTGATTAGGTACAGTAGTTTTGTAGGGCTAAAATATGAACCAAAGAACTTGTATGTTACTCTTCTAGGCAGTGATTCTGATATATATGCTGTGGGTTTTGGGTCAATATTAGTATGTTTGTTGCTTATGAGTTCCTACAGTTTTGTACTCCCATGACTTAGAGCAAGGTTAGCCTAGAGTATATTTTTGAAGCAATAAAATAATGTTTTATTGAAAGTCTGTTCTTGTGTATTTCACTGATATCCACATGATTTCTTCTACTTTTTTTCTATATTGCTAAGGGAGGTAGGCAGATGGTAAAATAAATGTTTCAAGCATGTTAAATTTAAACCTGACATTTCTGATTACCTTGGCAGATACTGCCATTGATTTACCACAATGTAATTTTGGGAGAAATGATTTTAATGTTTTTAATGTTTTATATAAAATTTAGTTTTAACACTAAAAATCAAATGAAAAAATACATTTGTATGATACATAGCTAATAGCTGTATATATGCTTAATTTAATATCATACTGTTAAAAATTATGAAGTAATTTTATGAGTTATAATCAGGATTCTCAAACTAATACTTTCATAAACTTAATAATGTTATCAAGTTTATGAAATTATAAGTGAAAACTCACACAGAGACAGATTTCTGAGCTGTGACCTTTTTAATGCTCAAATATAAGAGAGGTCTCTTAGGGGTTTCATTTCTGAAACTATGACTAAGCCATGTTCGGTTGTGCCAAGTGACTCATTAATCATAAAAAGAATATTTAGGATGCATGTGGTGATCCATCTGGGCAAGTGACCTAGAGAGGAAAGAAATTTGCTTATCTCTACAGTGTCTACTTGAGAAGTCTAGTGTTTTATCTCTGCCTTCAAACACTCATTGTCTTCCTGGGAGGAAGAAATGGACAACTTAATTTTTAGACTAACTGCAAGAGTACCATGGCCATTCTGAAACTTTGCTGAGAAGAGAAATAATGAGACATAGGATAATAATTTATATGTGCTTTATGTATAAGAGGATAAACTGTTCTCATCTTTGGATGAATAGTAGAGCTGGAGTTAACTGGATCAACTTTTAACAAGAAAATCCCTTTGCTTCCTTACTAGTGAGTCTTTCATAAGCATAGTAATGTTATCAAGTTTATGGAATTATTAGTAAAAATTCATGTGGAGCCAGATTTCTGAGCTATGACCTTTATAATGTTCATATAAGAAAGGTCTCTGAGGGGTTGTATTTCTGAAAGTATGACTATGAAACTATGAAAATATTCTTGGAATTGAAATATTCTTGGAAATATATTCTTGGAATTTTTAGACAAGATGGTGGCATTAACAGATTTTGAAACCTGAAAGTCTGCCTCAAGCATATTCAAGAGAGGTAAAATTTAGAAAAATACTATTAAAGTACATGTCTATGTGTAAAAAGAAGATAAATACTTTCATAAGCATATTAAAATGAAATTCAAACCTCTACATTTTCCCTGAAGTCACAATGTACTATAAAAGCTAGTATTAAAAGCTTGTGTTTTTGTCTAAGTGAATGCTGGGGTCAAATATATACCGTGAATATCAGAAAAATGACTCTGAGCTCTATGTTTGAGGTGGAGTGTGGTGTTATGCTTCTTAATCAAAAATAAGAAAGAAATGTCTCTATCCATCACCTACGAGTCTGTAGAAAATTTACGGTTGCTTATATCCAGAAAAAGAACCAAATGCATACACTAAAGATTCCAAACAGAGCCAGCCTCTGGCCTGAAGCTGTTAATACAAGGCTTACTTTAGAGATATGAACGTCAAATATCTTGCAATTAAGTAACTAATAAAAATTATTGAACAAAGAATAGAAACCTCTTCACAAAAGTTTGTATTTCAAACAGAAATTGCAAAATTCATTAAGAAATACTGTGCCATGTAATGTAAATCCAAGATGCAAAACAGGAAACAACACATTCAAGAAAATAAAGAGAATATAATAACTTAAAAAGAGGTTAAGTTGTGATTAAAGTTTTCAGATTATAAGTAGAAACGACATCTATTGAAGGTTTTGAGTTAAGAAGAGTTAAGTTTAAAACAAGTTATCTGGGAATAATAATGGAAATATGGTAAATGGAATAGTGAAATAAACAATGGTTTTAGCAAACTGAAAAGAGGATCCTGATTTAGATAAAAATTTTCAAATCCATCTGCATGCAAAGTGGATAAATGAAAGTAAGGAAAATATAGGAAAAAAGTTACAGACAAAAAAGATAATCTAAGTATTTTCAACCAATGGCTATAAAGATTTTCCAAAGGAAATTATGGAAAGACTGGAGAAGAAGAACAAGAATTAAGAAAAAAATGACTGAAAATTTCCAGAACTAAGTAAAGAATCTAATTCTTAAAACCAAACAAGCAAACAAAAAACCTCAATGTTCGGTATGGTTACAAAATAACTTCAGAGGCTAACAGCAGGTTGGTGGCTATTGAATCTCATGATATTCTCCTGCCAAAACAGGTAGAAGCAAGTGTACATAATAAAACTCACGGATAACCTCTGCAACAAAAATAAATGATACAACATTATAATAAACACCAAAGGAGGAGGGGATAATCCCAAACCATCTACAGAAGCAAGATCTTAATAGTGTCCCCAATCATGTAGAAAGAAATGGAGAGAAGTCAAAGAGACTTCTGATGTCCCTGAAAACCAGAGACCCTGTTGTAGTTTGAAATGTGATTTCTCAAAAAGATACATGGAAGTCCTAACCCCAGTATGCCAAATGTGGTCTTATTTGGAATTGGGGTCTTTACAGAAATCAGATTAAAACCAGATAATTAGGGTGAGCTGTAATCTAATATAACGGCTGTCCTTATAAGAAGGGGAAATTTAGACACAGAGACAGACACACACAAGGGAGAAAGTCATGTAAATATGAAGGCAGAAATTGGGTTGATGAATTTACATGCCAAGGAAAACCATTGCCAGGAAACCACCAGAAGCTTAGGAAAATATATGGAACAGATTCTCCCTCATGTCCATCAGAAAGAACCAACCCTTTCCACACCTTGATCTCAGACTTCTAGTTTCTGAACTGTCAAACAATAAATTAAGGCACCCAGTCTGTGGTACTTTATTATGGCAGCAAAATAGCAAAAAAGATATCAAATTGCCAAAGAGTACACAGGCCAAACTTGAGGAATTTTCTACTTGGTATGGAATGCTCAAAGATTCAATATAAAAACAGCTTCTGAAAAAAGAGGGGGCTTTGAAGATTCCAGTTTGTGGGTGAGTACAAAGGGACTACTAAAATGTCATCTCAATCAAATGATGTACGTTCTATGGAAAAGCTTTACCTTAAGAGAAACACTGGCCATATGGCTCATTCTTTTCATATTTCCATTCACGCAATTCTGCCAAAAATTCTGATAGTTTATCTGTTCTATAATAGCAGCTATGCCTGGTTATGCCTAGATTGTCAGCCTCTTGACTTGCCGTATCAGTCCATTCTCTCATTGCTATAACGGAATACCTGAGACTGGGTAATTTATAAAGAAAAGAGCTTTAATTGGCTCATAGTTCTGCAGACTGTACAGAAAGCACAGCAGCTTCTGCTTCTGTAGGGGTCTCAGGAAACTCCTAATCATGGCAGAAGGCAAAAGAGGAGTGAGGTGTCTCACATGGTGGGAGCAGGAGCAAGAGAGAGTGAGCAGGGAGGTGCCACACTTTAAATGACCAGATCTCATGAGAGCTCACTCACTTCATGAGGACAGTACTGCGGGGGAATGGGGTTACACCATTCATGAGAAATCCATCCCCATGATCCAATCATCTCCCTCCAGGCCCCACCTCTAATATTGGAGATTATAATTCCACAGGAGATTTGGTGGGGACGCAGATCCAAACAATATCACTTTCACCCAAAATTGGCAAATGCCAATGCTCCCTGGAGAAAAACTAAATGCAGAATTGAATTTTGGATCCATCCTTTGGCCCTCTCCTTTCAGTATTATTAGTCTTTCTTATTCTGGCATTATGATATATCTAAAAATGGATGTATATTTTTACATTAACAATTTTTTGAATTATTCATGATGGAGGTGTTTGTTTAAGTTTTTGTACTCAAAATTAGAAGTTAGTGTTGTCTTATGTTGCAACTGATAATATATATTCCAAAATGATTTCTAGACAGTGCTCCTCTCAGTCTCTCTTTCTTTTTCATATATATATATAAATATATATTTATATGATATAGATGTTGCTTTTCATAGTTTTGATAAGAAGAATTAAATGTGACATTTGACCTGACCTATAAATTTGAATATAGACCTCTATAAAAATTAATTAATGCAATGAAGTTTCTAAAATATAGATACTATTTTTTGCTACTGTATCTTAAAAGGGCTTCAGGTCAGCCACACAATTTATACTTGTGTCATTTCCTCTTTTTAAGATAAATGTATTTAATTCATAGTGCTAAATTTCCATCAAGAATCACGACTTCACACCACAACTCTCCTTAAAATAAATGAGGAAAATTTTTTCCTCAGCATTTATTCATTTAGATTTATCTTCGGGAGAAATAAGATAGAAGTCTGTAGGTCCTCATTAAAATTCAGGTAAGCCTGCTGATCTGCTGTTTTTGAAGTGATCCTAGATTCTGTGGTTAAGTTTGATATAATTTTACAAATTTATATCTGTTCTGTGTTAAATCTTTAATTAACATATTTTATGAGAGTAAGAATAGTGAACTTTCTTTAGGATATCTTGAGAACTAAATATCTTGCATTAGTTATTTGTGCTAATTTACAGTATTAGAAATATCTGAAGCAGTCCAATATACCCACGCCCTTCTATACAAAAATATGTGAAATGTATCAAGAGCTCATAATATATAAAACCAATTATTCACATCTCTTACTTTTTTCCAGAATTGAAAAACGTATACAAAATGGTTTATCTTAATTTCTCTAAAGTTTGTATTCAAAAGATGAACCCATTTACATTATTAATGTTACCCTAAGTGAAAAGAAAAGCAAGAACCCAAATGTTTCCCCCACTCAAATCCTGTACCAAAATACACAAATATAAATTATTTTTTCCTAAAACGTCTTTCAGTGAACCGCAGTTCAGTTCAAGGTAAAGACTACCTAGCAATACAAAAATGAGCATATACAGTTTATTTCCTAATTCATCCTGTTACATGTTTTTTCTTTTTATCTATTAATAAAAAAGTCATTGCAGTACAACAACATTTACTGTTTACAAACAGTCATATAGCAATTCAGTTAAAAGTTTTATAAATTGTTTGATTTTATAAATAGGATTATTTTCCACTTATTATACAAGGGGTTTAGTACATTATATTCATGAACACTAAAATGAGTTTGGTGACTAATTCCCTTTTCTGCTACCAGACTGGAAAATTTCCCATAAATTGTATTTGTGTTCTGTTTGTCAGAGCCATCTGCTTAGCCTTCACTCCACTTTTTGTTTCAGCCAAGATGAAATTAAAATTGACAGAAGTGTCTACTATGAAAAAAAGCAACACAGATAATTGGGGAGTGGAATGAAGTGTGCAACATTGTTTTGCATCCAGCACCTTTCTTCTAATAGTGTTCTGAATTCAAAGGTTCTGAGAGTTGCCGAGAAGAATTAGTTTATAAAGAGCATGTTTAAATGTTTTAGAAGTGTTAAAGATGTATAAATATACATTTTATTTAATGAAAAAATTAGCAATTTAAAGTTTCATACTAAAAAATACTCATTCCTAATTGAGAACAACGGTTAACTCTCATATTTTCTCCTCCCTTGTACAGACCTAAGATTCTGAAGCAATGTTATTATTTAATGATAAACACTGAACTATACTTTTCTAACAAAGGTTTTAATGATCTCAATAGATTGTAGCTCTGGTTCATAGTCACAGGGAAAGCTGAGCTTATCAGTTCATTATAAGAGAGGAAATGACGAAGAAATAGTGACCTGTGAAGACCTAATTTAACTTTATATTAAATTATTTGAAGATGGAAGAAAAGTAATGCTATGACATCTATTGGAAGACATTTAAGGAAAATTGCAATTGTATCACTCTCTAGAATGAAATATATTTCTCATATTTCTCATCACCTGGCTTTAAGTAAGTGATATCAGTTACAACCAAAAGAGATTCATCCTTGTTCTGGCAGGACTTAAGGAAGATTAACTTTCCTTAAGGGAGGTTGCTTGATAATACTCACTTGAGATTAGTCATTTTAATATAGCTATCACCCAATGATATAGTTTGGCTGCATCCCCACCCAAATATCCCCTTGAATTTTAATAATCCCCATGTGTCAAGGGTGGGGCCAGATGGAAATAATTTACTCATGAGTGTGTTTTCCCCCATACTGTTTTGAGTAAGTCTAGTGAATATGTCTCAGGAGATCTGATGGAGATCCCCTACCCAAGCTCTCTTGCCTGCTGCTATGTAAGACATGATTTTGCTCTACATTCGCCTTCTGCCATGATTGTGAGGCCTTCCCAGCCATGTGGAACTGTGAGCCAAAAAACCTCCTTCCTTTATAAATTACCCAGTCTTGGGTATGTCTTTATTAACAGGGTAAGAACAGACTAATACAGTAAATTGGTACTGGTAGAGTGGAGTGCTGCTATAAGGATACCCAAAAATGTGGAACTGACTTTGGAACTGGGTAAGAGGCAGAGATTGGAAGAGTTTGGAGGGCTCAGAAGACAGGAAAATGTAGGAAAGTTTGAACTTCCTAGAGGCTTGTTGAACGGCTTTGACCAAAAGGCTCATAGTGATATGGACAATAAAGCTCAGACTGAGGCAGTCTCAGATCAAGATAAGGAATTTGCTGGGAACTGGAACAAAGGCGACTCTTGCCATGTTTTTTTTTGTTATGATTTTTGTTTTTATTATTATTCTTTAAGTTCTAGGGTACATGTGCACAACGTGCAGGTTTGTTACATATGTATACATGTTCGCAAGGACAGAAAACCAAACACTGCATGTTCTCACTCATAGGTGGGAATTAAACAATGAGAACACTTGGACACAGGGTGGGGAACATCACACACTGGGGACTCTTGCCATGTTTTAGCAAAGGGACTGGTGGCATTTTGCCCCTGCGCTAGGGATTTGTGAAACTTTGAACTCGAGAGAGATGATTTAGGGTATCTGGTGGAAGAAATTTCTAAGCAGCAAAGTGTTCAAGAGGAAGCAGAGCATAAAATTTGGAAATATTTGCCACCTAATGATGCAATAGAAAAGAAAAACCCATTTCTGGGGGGAAATTCAAGCCAGCTGCAGACATTTGCATAAGTAATGAGGAACCTAATGTTAATCACCAAGACAATGGGGAAAATGTCTTCAGGGCATGTCAAAGACCTTCACAGAAGCCCCACTCATCATAGGCCTCTCCAGGCCTAGAAGGGAAAAATAATTTGGCCCCCCTGCTCTATGCAGTCTCAGGATATGGTTTCCTGTGTCACAGTTGCTTCAGCTCCAGCCGCTCTGGTTAAAAGGGGCCATTACTTCAGAGGGTGCAAGCCCCAAGCCTTGGTGGTTTATACATGGTGTTGGGGCTGTGGGTGCACAGAAGTAAAGAACTGCGGTTTGGGAACATCCACTTAAATATCAGAGGATGTGTGGAAATGCCTGGATGTCTGGAAGAAATTTGCTGCAGGAGTGAAGCTCTCATGGAGAACCACTGCCAGGACAGTGCAAAAGGGATATGTGGAGTCGGAACTTCCACACAAAGTCCCCACCTGGGGCTTCTCATTTGCCTTCTGCTATGATTGTGAGGCCTCCCCAGCCATGCTGAACTGTGAATCGAACCTGTTAACTTTATAAATTACCTAGTCTCAGGGTTGTCTTTATTAGCAGTGTGAGAACATACTAATACACCTATTTCATACAGTTTAAGTAATTCAACTATCATTAAATAGTAAATAGTCACTCACATTTTATTTGGCTTCATAGCTGTAAAACTATGTAAGAATCACCCCTTCATAATAATTGGTAGAGAAGGATCCAAAATTAACCATTAAATACATAGTTTTTAAATACAAAGGAAGGCAACTTTTAGTTTTGTTGTATACAATGAAAAAGATACTAATATTTGTGATCAAAACAACACAATTGCATCAGAATGCTTGAGGTTTTAGTTTTTGCAGAAATATATATATACATGTTCTCATATATATATGTTCTTATATATATGTTCTCATATATATGTTCTTATATATATATGTTCTCATATATATATGTTCTCATATATATGTTCTCATATATATGTTCTCATATATATATTCTATATATATGTTCTCATATATATATTCTATATATATGTTCTCATATATATGTTCTCATATATATGTTCTCATATATATATGTTCTCATATATATATATACACACATACATACACATACATATATATATGAATTTATAAGTCTAGGCATTTAAACTTTTATTTTCTTTAAACTGCAATAAGTCCTCACTTAATGTCACCCATGGGTTCTTAGAAATTATGACTTTAGGAGGAAGGAGGGGCTGGCATGGTGCCTCATGCTTTTAATCCCAGCACTTTGGGAGGCTTTGGGAGGCAGACCCAGCAGGATTGTTTGGGGTCAGAAGCTTGAGACCAGCATAGGCAATATAGGGAGACCCTGTCTCTGCAAAAAATAAAAACAAAACAAAATAATTGGTTGGGTATGGTAGTGTGTACCTGTAGTTTCAGCCACTCCAGAGGCTCAGGTGGGAGACTCTCTTGAGCCCAGGAGTTTGAGGCTGCAATGAACCATTTTCATGCCACCACACTCTAGCCTGGGTAACTATGGATACCTTGTCTCTAAAAATGAAAACAAAAACAAATAAACAATAAAAAATAAAGAAACGACACACAGCAATCACTTTTACCATAATCTAACTGGTATATAAGGAAAAGTTAATTCCCTATGGCATATTTATTGTCACAGAAAGTCACCAAAATTGTAAATAAAAACCCAAAACTACTGATTTTAAACATAGAAATAAATATGAACTCTGCATACATTTAAGAAAGCTTAATAAAAACAAGATAATTATTTACCCAATCACTCTAGTTCGAAGACATGTGTGACTGGAGCCTATCCCTGCAGCTCTGGGCCTAAGGCAGAACTGAGCCTGGACACAATACCATTCCATCACAGGAGCACTCACACTTCACTGCCACACTTACTCTTCGGGACAATTTAGACACGCCAATTAATCCCATGTTCACATCTCTGCAATGTGGGAGGAAACCGGAATACCCAGAGAAAACCCATGCTGATGTAGGGAGAACGTACAAACCCCATAAAGACAGTGGCCCCGGCCTGGAATCATTTTTTTTTTCCTTATCAGCCTTATAAGAAAACTATTTGAACAAAACTATGTTATTCAAGGATCTGCAGGCTATACTTTATTGAGGTATGATTAACATGAAAAAATGACACATATATAATATATATATCTCCATAAGTGTGAATTAAGTATACATTTTTGATACTATTACTACTAAGACCATAAACATATCCATTACCTTCCAAAATTTCTTCCTACCCCCTTTATTACTATTTTTTGTTTGCAAGAACACTTAGAAGATTTAACCTCTAACCATCTTCGGTATAAACATAATATTGTTAGCTATAGGCATTATGCTGTGTAAAAATCTCCATAATTTATTTACCTTTTGCATAACTGAAACTTTATAACTTTTAAGCATCACAATCCCCACCTCCCTCCAGCCCTGACAACTACCATTACATCTTCTGCTTCTGTGAGTTTGACTGTTTCAGATTCTACCTTGGTTATTTTGAATAATGCTGAAATAATCATGGGAGTACTGATATCTCTTTGAGTTTTTAAATATTTACTCAGAAGTAGGATTGTTGAATCATATGATAATTCTGATTTTAATTTTTTAAGGAAACTCAATACTATTTTTTATGAAGGCTGTACCAATTTACCTTGCCACCAAGAATGTACAAGGGGTCCCTTTTTCTTCACATCTGGCTAATAACTTCTTAGCTTTTAGTGTTTTAAATAATAGCAGTCTTAATGGGTGTTTTCTTGAGGTCTTGATTTGTGTTTCTCTGATAAACACGTTGAGCAAATTTTCACATGCCTCTTGGCATTTGTATGTCTTCTTTTGAAAAATGTCTATTTAGGTCCTTGGCCTATTTTTCCTTTGAGTTACTAGTATGCAAGAATAAAATTGATTTTTGCATGTTGATTTTTTATCCTGCACCTTCACTGAATTAATTTATTAATTCTAGCTTCTTTAGTGGACTATACAGGGCTTTTATTTATATAAGATTACACCATCAGCAAAAAAATAAAATTTTTCTTTTTTTCCAACTTTGATACTTTTATTCCTTTTTCTACTTAATGGTAGTGGCTAGAACATACAGTACTATGTTGAAATAGATGTGATGAGAGTAGGGATTCTTTTCCTCTTCCTTGTCTTACAGAAAAAGCTTTCAACTTTTCACCATTGATTATGATATTAGGTGAGGGTTTATCATATACAGACTTTATTATGTTTAGGTACATTTCTTCTATGCCTAATTTATTTAGAACATCATGAAAAAATATTGAATTTTGTCAAGTATTTTCTCTTGTAGGGGCAACAGGCTGGGGCTGGTGATGTGGGTGGTAAAAGAATTTACCAAGGTAGTCATAGGTAAAGAAAGGCAGATTAATTAGTAAAACTACAAAGATAAGTTACAAGAGAGCAATGGCCAGCACGGCAGAGAAGGGGCTGTCTTCCAAGAGGTAGGGGATAAGAAGAAGCTTTAGAGGGTCATGCTGGAGGGGCCACATGCAGATAAGGTGTGCAGATAAAGTCATGCTGCTGGGGCTATGTGCAGAATGAGGTATTTGGGAAGAGGATGTTGTGCCAATGGGTTGTCTGTGATTAGTTGTCTCTCAAAACAATTTTTCTCCTCTACCTGGGACCCTTTCCTTGTTGTTGATTACTTATCAGGACTCTACAGTTTTTTTGAGAGGACAATACTGACAAATCTTTGGCAATGGGGGGGAAAGTCTCATCTTTCAACTAGTTCCTGCTAGCCTGTGGCATAGAGTTGTCCCTACTTCTGGTTGTTGGTCTGTCAGAAGATGCTGTGGGTCATCGTCCTGAACTGTGGGACTTAGGATATTGAATCTTGCTGGAGGGAGAGACTCATCAAAGAGGGGGAGCATGTCAAGGCAAAAGTGATGTCCAAATGAGTCCAAGGGAGATTTGTAAAGGTAACAGGCATCACTGGGGAGAGTCTGATATACCATTCACAGTATCATTTGAAGGTAAAATTACTGAATTTAAAAAGACACAAATTTAACAACCAACAGAAGGTGAATATGCAAGGGCTGAAGAGAAGGGATAATAACATACCTGTCAGTGTCCCCAAGAATGGAAGCAACCAGGATTATCATCCCCAGGTGGATGTCCATGAAGATTATCCTTGTGGTGCTTTTTCCTCAATTCCATCGGCTTGTTCCCTGAGCTTTTTGACATGATACCTGATTGATTAACATAAGCACAACATTCTTTCTGGAGGGCTAAACAAATGAGCCCTTGGGCTGCTGTAAGCAAATTTAGGCCACAGCGGTTTTGGAGAACAACTGCTGCTAGGGGGTCTCTCTGATCTTGCAGGACTTCAAAGGTGTCAGAGATGCTTTGACCTTGGTGGAGAGTTCAGCTGAGAGAGTATGACAAGTATGGGCTGTGAGGCTCATACCTGTTATTCCCATACCTAATCCGTAGCAATCCCTAGGCCAGTGAGTATAGGGATCAGATAGATTGACCATTCTTCCCTGCTAGAACTGTAAAGCGGGATTGAGAGGGATTTATTGGAAGGAGCAATTTGGATGTCTGGGGCTAAGTAAACTAGTGTACAAATTGCTGTCCCATTGGTTGGAAGACAAATATATGCAATTGATCTGCAGAGGAAGAAAGCTTCCTCAGATTTAAGGCATGGAATTAGACTTAGAGTGAAGAAATGGAGTGTGTTTTGGTTTTCTGAAGTATTGAGTAGCTAGAGTAGTACTTGTAAGAGGATTCAAGGCTTGGATGTTAAAGTTAGCATTTGCGTGGGTTTTGTTGTCACAGAATAAATGAAAGCATTGAGTGTCTAGAAACATTCAAGATTTTGGGTTGCTAAGTGTGAGAATATGTGGGCAATTATTAGAGGAATTTGCAACCTTGCAATATTGCCATTAAGTTAAGTCAGGACAAGTGTCTGGAGAGGGGCATCCTGTGCAAAAGTGAAAGGTGACATTTTGGAGATTTGGGGCATTGAGGTCAGCTGGGCCTGATGTTCTAACTAGTATCAAATTATGTTTTCCCTCTGATATGTATTTTATATTGGTGCAATTTATAGTTATGATGTAGTTGCAAAGGGGGTTAAAAATGTTTCCCAAGGGGTTGGAGTTTCCGGGAGGTCTGCTTTAGCATTGCAGCTTAGATCTATGGTTATAAAACAAAATGTTCAAGTGGTCCCTCCACATTTGGATCTGGTAACAAGGTTGTAGAATTAAGTGTTTGGCAGGGGCTAATACACCAATTCTGGTGCATGTAGAAGGTGTGTTTGATACTTGCAAATAGTTATCTGATATCCAGTGAAAGGCCTTCAAGTTTAGGAGTTTCATTGCCTAATGCGGGGTATGTAGAGTTATTCCTTGAACCAGAGTTAAGGAATAAATGTATACACCCCACATCAATCAGGAGAGCCACAGATGCTAGCACTTGGAGGCATGGAGGCTATCTCCATGCCACTGGGTTCAGGGTTTCTGATAAGTAAGCAATTGGTCATTGAAAGTGTCCCAGTGGCTGAGTTAGAACTCCAAGGGCAATACTGCTTTTCTCATGTTCTATGAAGTAAAAAGGCTTTCTAAAATCTAGCAAGGCCAGGGCTGGGTCAGTGGTGATTGCTTATTTGAGGGTTTTCACAGTATTGTCCATTTCAAGGCTCCAATATAGGGGTTCCTCCTCTGGTCCTTGTAGCACCTCATTAAGATGTTTTGCTAAAAGTCCAAACTGGGATATCCAAGTGTGACAAGCCTACCATTTCCAGAAAGGACTGCAGCTGCTGTTGAGTGGATGGAATGCAAATGTTTAAAATAAGATTTTTGTGGTGATCTGAGAGACTCTTGGACTCTAGGGTTAATGTTAGTCCCAAGAATCGAACCTCCTGAGAGGAGGTTTGAGCTTTAGAAGGAGAAATTTTATAACCACAGGAGGCCAATCTCTGAAGAGTATTAATAGTATTTAGGTCTGAGGTATTTTCAGGTGGACAGCAAATAAGCAGGTCATATTAGTTCATTTTCACACTGCTGAAAAAGACATACTTGAGGCTGGGAAGAAAGAGAGATTTAATCAGACTTACAGTTCCACGTGGCTATGGAGGCCTCAGAATCATGGCAGGAGGTAAAAGGCACTTCTTACATGGTGGTGGCAAGAGAAAAATGGGGAAGATGCAAAAGTAGAAAACCTGATGAAAACATCAGATCTCATGAGACTTATGTACAACCATGAGAATAGTATGGGGGAAACCGCCCCCATGATTCAAATTAGCTCCCACTGGGTCCCTCCCACAACACATGGGAATTATAGAAGTACAGTTCAAGATGAGATCTGTGTGGGGACACAGCCAAACCATAGAATTCTGCCCCTGGCCCCTTCAAATCTCATGTCCTCACATTTTAAAACCAATCATGCTTTCCCAACAGTCCTCCAAAGTCTTAATTCATTTCTGCATTAATCCAAAAGTTCACAGTCCAAGGTCTCACCTGAGAGAAGGCAAGTCCTTCTGCCTATGAGCCTCTAAAAACAAAAGCAAGCTAGTTGCTTCCTAGATGCAATGGAGGTACAGGTATTGGGTAAATACAACTGTTCCAAATGGGCGAAATTGGCCAAAACAAAGGGGATACAGGGCCCATGAAAGTTGGAAATCCAGTGGGGTGGTCAAATTTTAAAGCTCCAAAATGATCTCCTTTGACTCCAGGTCTCACATCCAGGTCATACTGATGCAAGAGGTGGGTTCCTATCATCTTGGGCAGCTTTGCCCCCATGGCCTACCAAGGTACAGCCTTCCTCCTGGCTTCTTTCATGGCCTGGTGTTGAGTGTCTGTGGCTTTTCCAGGCACATGATGCAAGCTGTCAGTGGATCTACCATTCTAGATTCTGGAGGATGGCGGCCCTCTTCTCACAGCTCCACTAGGAATTATCCCTATATGGACACTGTGTGGGGGCTCCAACCCCAGATTTCCTTTTGGCACTGCCCTAGCAGAGGCTCTCCATGAGAGCCATGCCCCTGCAGTAAACTTCTGCCTGGACATCCAGGCATTTCCATACATCTTCTGAAATCTAGTCTGAGGTTCCCAAACCCTAATTATTGACTTCTGTGCACCTGCAGGCTCAACACCATGTGGAAGCTGCCAAGGCTAGTGGTTTGCACCCTCTGAAGCCACAGCCCAAGCTATACATTGGCCCCTTTCAGCCATGACTAGAGTGGCTTGGATGAAGGGCACCAAGTCCCTAGGCTATACACAGCATGGAGACCCTGGGCCCTGCCCATGAAACCATTTTTCTCTCTTAAACCTTTTGGTCTGTGGGAGAGGCTGCCTCAAAGGTCTCTGAGACATTTCCCCCATTGTCTTGGGGATTAACATTCAGCTCCTTTTTTTTTTTCTTTTTTTTTTTGAGACAGAGTCTCACTCTGTCACCCAGGTTGGAGTGCAGTGGCACGATCTCGGCTCACTGCTAGATCCACCTCCTGGGTTCACACCATTCTCCTGCCTCAGCCTCCCAAGTAGCTGGGACTACAGGTGCCCACCACCGCGCCTGGCTAATTTTTGTATTTTTAGTAGAGATGGGGTTTCATTATATTGGCCAGGATGGTCTCAATCTCCTGACCTCGTGATCCGCCTGCCTTAGCTTCCCAAAGTGCAGGGGTTACAGGTGTGAGCCACCGCACCCAGCCAGCTCCTTTCTACTTATGCAAATATCTGCAGCCAGCTTGAATTTCTCCTCAGAAAATGGGATTTTCTTTTCTTTCACATTATCAGGCTGCAAATTTTCCAAACTCTTATGCTCTTCTTCCCTTTTAAAACTGAATGCCTTTACAAGCACCCAAGTCACCTCTTGAATGCTTTGCTGCTAGAAATTTCTTTCACCAGATAACAAAAATCATGTCTGTCAAGTTCAAAGTTCCACAGATCTCTAGGGTGGGGCAAAATCTTATCAGTCTCTTTGCTAAAACATAACAAGAGTCATCTTTGCTCCAGTTCCCAAGTTCCTCATCTCCATCTGAGACCACCTCAGCTTGGATTTCATTGTTCATATCATTATCAGTATTTTTGTCAAAGCCATTCAACAAGTCTTTAGGAAGTTCTAAGCTTTCTCACATTCTCCTGTCTTCTTCTGTGGCCTCCAAACTGTTCCAGCCTCTGCCTGTTACTCAGTTCCATAATCCCTTCCACATTTTCGGGTATCTTTTCAGCAATACCCCACTGCTGGTGCTAATTTATTGTATTGGTTCATTTTCACACTGCTGATAAAGACAAGCCTGAGACTGGAAAAAAAAAAGAGGTTTAATTGGACTTACAGTGCCACGTGGATGGGGAGGCCTCAGAATCATGGTGAGACACAAAAGGCACTTCTTACATGGCAGTGGCAAGAGAAAAATGAGGAAGATATGAAAGTGGAAACTCCTGATAAAACCATCAGATCTTGTGAGACTTATTCACTACCATAAGAACAGTATGGGGGAAACTGCCCCCATGATTCAAAGTAGCTCCCTCCAGGTCCCTCCCACAACATATGGGAATTATGGGAGTACAATTAAAGATTAGATTTGGGTGGGACACTGAGCCAAACCATAGCACAAGTCATCAACCTATTGAAGCAAGGCACTATTAGGGGAAAGTTGAAGGGTGGACAGATCTTTGGCAAGAGCCTGTCAAAACAGGTGTGAGCTAGCTCTAATTCCCTGGGGTAGAACTTTTCAGGTTAATTGTTTGGCAACATAAATGGAAGAGTCTCACCATTCAAAGGCAAATGAAAATTCAGAGTCCAGGTATACCAGAATGCAAAAGAATATATTTTTTACATCTTGAGTGGTGAACAAAGAAGTGTAAGACGGAAGTTGCCCTAGTAGGGTGTAAGGATTGGGAACAATGGGATGTATTGGGATTACTGCTTTATTGATACCCTTCATATGTTACATCATTTTATAGGTACTGTTTGACTTTTTTGAGTGCCAAGATGGGCATGTTACATGGTGACTTACAAGGACACAGTAGCCCCATGGCCAAAATGTTTTGTATTAGGGGATGTAGGCCTATTTCAGCTTCCGACTTTAAAGGTTGTTGGGGCTCCCTAGGGAAAGAAGTGGGATTCTAAAGGTGGGTTTTTATAGGATCTGTGAACAAAGTACATCCGGGAGTGGAAGTATATCATACCTTTGGAGGAACTTGTTGTAGAAAGGAAGGTTGTATTACCTTTGGGCTTTTGAGGTCAAGGGCTAGTTAGGCTAATCATGGAAAAACAAACTCAGACAACTGATGGTTGGTTAGGAGCTTTGTCATTATTGACCCTCAAGTTGCAGGATTGAGCAACTTGGCAAGACAAGAAAGAATGAGTGAAAATGTTTTTCCCAAAGATACATGCCAAAGGAGAAGTAAATCATTCCTGTTTTGGTTGGCTATCTATGCTAGTGATGAGGATCAAGGACCAAAATGTAGTTCCAGGAAAATTAATTAGGGCAGAATAAGTGGCTACTGTATCAACAAAGAACTCAGTTCTTCCTCCTACAACGTCTAGGGTTACCCAAGGCTCAACCATAGTGATGGAAAACACAGGAGCCTGGATGGCCTCTGGGCCCCATCAATCACTAGGACAGATAGGGAATGGCCCTCACTGGGATTCCTCCCTTCTTTCCCTTGTGTTCCCATCAGTTTTGTCAACATTGAGGAACAGAGTTAAGGGCATTTGCCTTTGCCATTCTCCCAAGTTGACCCACACTTAAGGTTGCCGGTAAAGGGATGACCCTCTCACACTAGGGAGAGAGAGACAGTCCTGTTTCTAGTGCCCCACTTGTTTGCAGTGTGGGTAGGGGCTAGGTGGTGGTTGCTGGGGACTAGTTGACAGGTCTGGGGCTGGTTTCAGCCATGTTGGCTAACAACCCTGACTGGTTATAGTGATAGCAAATGAATGATCCTTTGTTGGTCCCTGGACCATATCCCAGTGGTTTTTCTGGGCCCCTTTATATAGGTAGGGAATTAGCAATAGTGGGGACCATATAGTCACCTGCCACTTATCTCTTTCTCATTCCTTCCAATCCTGTTAGGTTTTCAAGACCTCCTCTTAGGTATTAAGGACCTTGAAGGCTGTGTTCAGCAATGTGAGGAAAGGAGCTTGTGGTCTCTGATCTAGCTTTTAAAGCTTGTGTCCAATGTCTGGAGAAGCCTGGCTGATAAAGTGAACAAACAAAATAGTGAGGCCCTCTGAGCATTCAGGGTTCATATTAGTATATTTTCTCATGGCTTCCACCAGCCTGGAATGAAATAAGGCTGAGTTGTCATTTTGCCCTTGTGTTATCTCTCTTAATTTCGCATAGTTTCCAGGTTTAAGTGCAGCTCTTTTAATGCTCTCAATTGAATATGCAAACATGATTATGGAGTACCCTGTCAGCATCTCCCTCCTGGTAGCATCACCTAGGATCAACATCAGGCACTGCTATCCTACAAAAGCCAGATTCTCGAGGGTTCTAGTTGTTAAACTCATCTGCCAATTTTTCAGCTAGTACCCAAATGTGGTAATTTTTCTCATGAGTGCAATAGGAGGTAAACATAATATAGATGTGTTACCAAGTAGGATTGAAGGAACCAGTAAATCACTTGAACTCTTTTATGAAAAGGGAGGGACCTGGCTAAAGGAACTAAGTTTGGTTTCTATTTGAGAAAGGTCAGACATTAAGAAAGAGACATGGATTCTGATGGTTCCTAGATCCTTCATTGCCACATCCCAGAGTGGCAGAAGTTTTTCTGGGGCCATATTGTGATCATAAGTGGTCCAAGATCTAGATCAAGTATGTGAAGGGGAGAAGGTTCTCTGATAAGTGGGAGGGGTTGTGGGGTTGCAGATGTGAGGGGAAGGAGAGGGATTAGAGGCTGATGGTCTAGGGGAAGGAGGAGAGGAAGGAACAGATGGGGTAGATATACTTGAATGTGAAGGTGATTTGTCAACGGAAGAAGGCTCAGCCTCAACTAGTCTAGCCAGTTTGAGATAATGGGAGAGAGTAAAAGAAGGATAGTCTAGAATTTCGGAAGAGTCAGTGGGGCCAGAGAATTTGGCCAAGCACAATCAACAAGTTTGGCAGAGGTCAGGATCCTGGGAAAGTCATGAAAGCCTGGACATAAGGAACTTCAGACCATTTAGAGGAGTTATGGCAGAAAAAAAAGTCAAGCTTAAGAAAAGTGTTGGGTGAAATCTCCCCACCTGGAGGCCACGTGGATTCCTGGTCCAGAAATTATAAAGTGGCCTTGCAGTATTACACAGGAAAATTAGATGTTTCTTTCTGAGAGTCTGAGAGTCAAATTTATCCCAATGCTTTAAATGTAGCCCAGGGGTAAATCTGAGGAAATGTAGGGTCTTTGTCCCATGGAGGGACTGGGAAAGAATGTCCACTGGGGATATGAACTGTGATTCCTCTTGGGGTGTCCTGATGAGGGAAAAGGGTTCCACTGACGTCCTCTGAAAAACTCTGAGATGCACTTTCCAGAGGAGTGTCCCACCTATTGGAAAGGATCTCCCAGTGCTACAACCTTACACTGGATGAACACTGGGTGAGCAACCCCAGGTCAGTCCAGGTAAGAATTACACTGCATGGCCAGCCCAGTTATGCTGGGTGCTCAGTACAGGTACAAAAGAAAGAGGTTTATGGCAGACTCACTGTCCTGGTGCTGTTTAGGATTACCTGGCTTAAGACGTCCAGAGCAAAGAGGCTGGCTATCTACAGGCTATAATTTAGAGTGAGAAAGAGGGGTTCTGAGTTCCCCAAAACACATGTGAATTCACCATGGTCGAGCTTACTCTTCTGACTGTGCCACACATAGGGATTGGGGACTTTTGATCAGAAAGAATAGAAGAGACCTTTCCTCCCTTCCAGACAAGGCAGCCAACCTGTTCAACCCTGGCCTTCAGGCTACATCAGGGAGTGGCCCTGACCAGTTGCCATCAGTTGCCAGAGGATACTAGAGAGTGTCCACTGGAATACTGAAAAGAAAAGCAAACTCTAAACTCTCATCCAGAGTAGTATACGTAGGGAATTAGCAACAGTGGCGACCATACTGTGGGCCTGCCACTTATCTCTCTCTCATTCTTTCCTATCCTGTTCAGTTTTCAAGACCTCCACTCAGATATTGAAGACCTTGAAGGGTGTGTCCAGCAATGTGATAATAGGGGTTTGTGGTCTCTGATCTAGCTTTTAAAGCTTGTGTCTACTGTCTGGAGAAGCCTGGCTGATTAAGTGAAGAGCCAAAACGGTGAGGTCCTCTGGGCTGTCAGGGCCCATGTTATGACTGGTGGTGGTCAGGCATCTTTCCATGTGAACCTTCTGGTCCACCTTGGAGTGCCCCTGGCTAGGGACTGTCAGTTATCTCTGGGCTTGGATGCTGTCCACTGAGAGGTTGGAGTTGAAGAAGAGGACGTAGGGAGAATGGGGTAATTTCCCTGTATGAGCCACCAAAATGTTGCAGGTGTCACTGACTGAGGCTGGTTGGGCAGTAAAAGAATATGCCAAGAAAGTTATAGGTTAAAAAAAAGGTCGATTTGTTAGAGAAACTATGAAGATACATTGCAAGAATGCAATGGGCAGCATGGCAGAGAAGGGGATGTCTATGAAGAGGCAGGAGCTGGAGGGAGGTTTTATAGAGTGTTGCTGGAGGGACTGTGTGCAGATAAGGTATAAAGGATATTGTCATGCTGCTGGGGCTACATGCAGAATGATGTATTTGGGAACAGGATGTTGTGCCAGCAGTTTCTCTGTGATTCGCTGTCTGTCCGAATAATTGTTCTCCACATGGGACCCCTTCCTTGTTGCTTACTTATCTATCAAGACTCCATAGTTTTTCTCTCTATTGAGATAATCACATGATTTTTATCCTTCATTCTTTTTATGTGGTGTATCATATTTATTGAGTTTCATATGTCAGACTGTTCTTACATATCAGGAATAAATCCCACTTTATCACGGTGTGTGATTCTTTTAATAGGCTGTTGAATTTGATTTGCCAGTATTTTAATGAAGATTTTTGCAGATATCTTCATCAGGAATCTTGATTTGTAATTTTTTTTTTCCTTCCTGCCTGATTTGGGTATCAAGGTAAAGTTGGCCTCATAGAATGAGTCTGGAAGTCTTTCTTCCTCCTCATATTTTTGAAAGAGTTGGTGAAAATTTGGCATTAATTATTCTTTAAGTGTTTGGTAGCATTCACTCTTGAAGCCATCTTATTCTGGGCTTTTGTTTTTGTGGAAATTTTTGATTGCTGATTCAATGTCCCCATTCATATTTTTTCTGTTCAGATTTTCTATTTCTTCATGGTAGACAAACAGTAGTACACATGCTCATTTCAATGTATAATGTGATTAGTCTGTGGGAGTAAAGCAATAAAGGAAACTCTCCATGTGAATTGGAGAAGTCTACAATGAGAACTGGGCAATTTCATAATCTGTAAGGTGGACATATTGAACTACATATTCTTCATGGTTTCTTTCAGATCTGAAGTTTGGTGAGTTTTTTTCTTTTTAAAATTTGTTTCTGAGTGGCCACTACATGTTATAGAAACCATCATCTTGTCACACAGCACAGTCTATGAATAAAAGGCTGAGTTATCACTAAGCAGGAGAAAAAGCATTAAAAAGTGTCCCATTAAAAGGGACTTTTAATCAACCTAATAAACTCTAATTCTGCTGACTTTTTAAAGATCTAAGGTCATTTTAATACATGCTGAAAAGGGTCACAATTAATTCTTTGATCTTTTTTACTCACTGTTAACTTATATAAATTCAGAACTACCCAGAAATGGCATATTATTTCCCTGTGATTCATATATTAACAAAACTACTAGAATGTCTATGAGGAATACTAAGTATCTCAGAAATTCTTTTCAGGTAGTACAATTTTAGAGAATAAATAGATCAAATCTATTTCCTCCTCTTGCTGACAAAGGTTGTTACCAGCATTTTCAGTGAGTGAAAATTATGGCTGTACTATGTGGAATATGAACAATTTCTAGGAAGCTCCAAAAATTCTGGGCAGCTTGTATGAATTTTAGGAGAATTTCTTTTTCTTGATGCTAGGAAACTCTTGTCTTGATTTCTCTACAATCTTCAATCTATAAATCACCATGTCCAGATGATTAGAAGAAGGGAAATTAGATTCTTTCTTTAGTACTTCTGTTATGTTGAAAATTTCTTCTCTACTACTATTCAGTCATACCCAAAACGGGAATGATTTCTACAACCTCATGGGAATCATAAATAAATGTAGATTCTGAATTCAAACTGCATATCATTGCTGTTTAAATATCAAGTGACTTTAAGCCAGAATATGCATTTAGTGATAACTTATTTATAATTGAATTATACCAAAAGATTTTTCATTCAGCATGTTTTTATATTTGCTTTCAATTGCATCTTAACTAACCATATATCTAAGCATTGTAATTACGTGTTAGAACATTTGTAGATCATACATGTAAACAATTTCTTCCTCTTATTGCATTGTCTACCAAAAGTAACAGAAAAAGAGGGGTTTGTTTGTATATGTGAGTTTATATGGGAGTACATGAATAAAAGTATATGAGTAGAAAAATAAAATTGAAGATCACTTCACTATGACATGGCAGTGGCATTTTCCTTCATGATTAGCCACTAATAGAATATTTTTATTTTATTTTTATACAGAAACATTTATTATTTTTATGTTAACTAATAATCTTGATTGACATTACAAAATATGTACTACCGGCTTTTTTACTTAAATAATGATATCTTTTTGCACCAATGAATTTCTTTCTTTCCTAACTGTTGGAAGAATATGTTGTATGTAATGGTATCAAATGTCATGAGAGCCATTTTCAATGTACCATAGTTAATACCATGCTTCTGGTCACTTAGGTAAAAATTCTCTAACGGCTTGGGGACTACATTGAGCCACATGGAGTTTAGTGGAATTCAAAGAGTTTTGTAGTTGAAAGATCTGAGCATATGGTGAAGAGTGGATGTCACTGTTTATTAGGGAGAGGTGTAAAATTCTGGTGACTCAGAATGTGATGTTGCAAAATGGGTTAAGCTGTGTTTGTTTTATAAAAGCAAAAAAACCCCAAAAAGCATATACTATGAACAGCCATGTTTAAATACAGATTATTAAAATGATCATAGTGAAACTAGAAATTATTTAATAATAAAATGTAAATGAAAATCACTGGATTAATCAATCCATGATGTAAAGCATCATCAAAGTAATACATTAAATAATTGTTGATCTTGGTCTTAGTCCTTGTTAACATAAAGCCATAGCTGAAAGATCTTACTATCTTTTGGGTTATTTCTGTGGTTTCAAACTTAAATGTTATGTTCTATCAATACTTGTGATGACATGACTGTGATAATTAACGGCAGTGGTACATTTCTAAATTAATTTGGCATTCCACTAATTAACTGAGGAAAATATCAATATTTCTTGTTAGGTTGTGTGTCTGTATCCAAAAGCTTATAATCACTTCTGGTTTTGACCATGATGGGCCAACAGAAATCAGATTAACCTTGACATCTTAATGAGGCAGAAAATTGGACAAATTGCTAAAACAATGGCTTTCAAATTTGGGGAAACATACATTAATCTTTGAGAGAATGAAAACAAATGGGGAACCTTAGCCTGTTGCCTTGAGAGAGTTTCTAGTCAGCAGTGCAGAAAGGGGAAACCCAAACAGATCATAGCAACCTTCCTAGGGAGGAAACAGAGTTCAGAGTTAGGGAGGCCAAGGCAGGTAAATTTTGTAAAGTAATGGAGAGGAAAAATCTGGAGATAGAGAGAGAGGACCCAAGAACTTCAGAGGGTTTTCCTCAAGTCTTCAGTTGAGTGCTGATCAGCATGTTCATGTGGGACAATTCTCAAGTATAAATGTTAAAAGCAATTACCTAACTTCCCAAGTTAAGAAATTAGAAAACAAAGAAAAGAAAATTAAAACCAAAGCAAGCAGAAGAAATTTAATAATAAAAATAATAGCAAACATTATTAAAAGAGACAATGCAGAAATAATAGGAAAAAAATATAGGCAAATCTAGTTTTTAAAATAATCATAATGATAGCTCTCTATACACTCTGACCAAGAAATATGCAGAGAAGGCAAAATTTACCAATGACAGAATGAGTGAGGGAATATCAGTGTAAATTCTACATTGTACAGATTTAAAAAGTTAATTCAAAAATATTACTAACAGGTTTATGGCAATAAATTTAATAACATAGATGTAACAGGCACATTTATTACTAAAGTGCATATGGGAGGCAATACACAATTTGAGTAGACTTATATCTACTAAAGATATTAAATTTGCAGTTAAAATATTTCCCTGAGGAAAACATCAACTTCTGCTGATTTCATAATTTACTGAGATATTTTACCAATTCTCTCTGTAATTTCATTTTTTCAGATGAACATTTCCCTGATACTAAAACTAGATAAAAAGGTATTTCAAGAAAACTACAGACTGATATTTCTTATGAATACAGACAAAAAATTATTAACAAAATTTTTGCAAGATGAAGTCAACATTACGTGAAAAGGTAGCATCAAGATCCCGTGGGGTATTTTCCTCCAAGGAATGCAAAATCAGTGTAACATTTGAAAATCAATATAATTCACCATAGTAAAATGCCAAAAAATGACCTTCTTAACCAATATAATAAAGTTGAGCAGAGGGGAGAAACAAAATATCATTAGACAGCAAAAAAAGAAATACCAGTGTTTTAGTTCACAGAAACATAACCAGCTATCTAGAATATCCTAAGGAATCTATATAAAAGACTTTAGAAGTAATGAGAGAATTAAGTAAGTTTTCTGGATACAAAGTCAATGCTATCTACAGCAATTGATTCTATTTATTAACACTAGCAATGATCAGCAAAAAATAATATCTTAATTAGTATCATTTACAGCAGCATTAAAAACCTGCAATAAGGTAGAAATATATTTGACAAGTGCAGTATAATTTTAGTACATTAAAAAGTACAATAAATTCCTTAGAAAAATTAAAGAGGATCTAAATAAATGACAAGATATACTATGTTCATGAGTCAGAATTATCACTATTCTTCAAATGTCAATTCTTCCCATATTAATGTATACATTTTAACATAATACCTATAAAAACCTCAGCAGGCTGCTTTGTAGAAAATGATGAATTTATTCTATAGTACATATGGAAATAGAAAGAACCTAAGATAGTCAAAAACAATTTTGAAAAAGGACAAAATCAAAGGTCTTACACTATTTGATATCAATTTATATTACAAAGCTATAGTAATGAAGACTGTACGATATTGTTGTAAAAGTGAACACATAGGTCAATATAACAGAATATAATGCCCAGAAATATGCATATATATATATATATATATGCATATATATATATATATATATATATATATATATATGCATATATATATATATATGCATATATATATATATATATATATATATATATGGTCAATTAACAGTCAGCAAAATGACCCTTTTCTTACATTACATACATAAGTTTAGTTGAAATGGATTATTGCCAAATGTAAAAGCTAAAATCCTAAAGCTTCTTGATAAAACAAAAATTGTAAAAGATTTTAAAATAACACAAAAAGCATCAAAAAGGAAGAAAATCACTATATTTGGCTTTACACCATTTACAACTTTCATTATTTGAAAGATTCTTTTAGGAAAGTAAAAAGGCAAACCACAGGCTGGGAGAAATATTATCTCATGCCCAACAAATATATGGTATTATAATAATAGCATATGTAAATTATCCTTACAATCTAAAATAACAGATTTCAATAGACACTGTCAAAGACGGTGTGTTGATGGCAATAAGCATGTGAAAAGAAGCTCAACATCATCAGTCATTAGGAAAATGCCAATTGCTGCCAATTTATACCCACTGGAATGTCTAAAACTAAAAAGACTGACCATTTGAAATATTGTCAAGCATGAGGAACAACTGCTGCTCTCATCTCTCCTGGAGGGAATGTAAAATTTTACAAGCACTTTGGAATACTGTTTGGTAGTTTCTTAGAAAGTTACACTCAACATGTGACCCAGCCATTCCACATTTAGGTGTTTCCTTAAAAGAAATCAAAGCGTACGTTCATGTAAGCATTTTTTGCATAAATTTTCAGAGCATCTGTATTAGTAATAGTAAAAACAAAACAAAAAAACTCTAAATAATACAAATGTCTATCAGTAAGTAAATGGATAAATAAATTGTGGCATATTGATATAAGGGAATAATATTCAGATATTTTAAGTAAGTTAAAACATACAACATATAAATATTAAAATAATTATCCTGAGTGATAAAATGCAAACTAAATCAAACTACACAGTGTATGATTTCATTGATGAATAATTTTAGACAATGCAAACTAATCTATAGTGAAAACAGTGTAGTGATTGCCTGGGTAGGAGGTAGTGGATCAAAGGATCTATTACAAATGGGTGAATGGAAATGTTTATTATAATGATTGTAGTGATATAGAAATATAAATAAATACATAAATAAATAATAAATTTATATGTAAACTTAGCAAGTTGTACACTTTAAGCATTCGTAGTTTATTGTACTACAATTATACCTCAGTCAACTGTAAATATGAGAAGGTAGTAAACCTTTTCACACCAAATAGTAAAAGTTTCAAACTACTCCTTCTCAACCAGATAATAGCCCAATGGTCATGGTAAACAAATGAGAGTGAAAAATGAATCTCATAGCAGGAAGAACCTCCTGAGATGTTCTGTTTTCTCCCTGCTTTATACTGGTATAAAATATTATTATAATCCTTATTTCATAATGGAGGCCAAAAGAGCCAAGTGACTTGTGTAAGTCATTTATCAAAGTCTATAAAAGCCAAGACAGAAGTTAAGTCTTTAACTCCTTCTTATTCATGCCCACAAGTTACATTTTCCATTAAGCCATGTAACTAGAAATATCATATTATATTATCTAAATTCACATATTATATAATATTATCTAAATTCACATATCACAAGAGAAAGTCTAAAACAGAAAGCCACTTTTAAAGAAATTAGTAATGTTACCAGAAAAAAAAACATGAATCTGATATATGCACACTTTCATTTGTTTTTTTAAAGTTCCAATAACAAAATAAAATCATTTTTTGGATGTCAATATGGTTTTTCCATTTAATAAAGGGAGGGTCCTTTGTTGAGGCAACATTTGAATAAAAATGGAGAGAAAGACTTATTAAGGGAGAGTAACTTAACAGTAAAGTATTCCAGGGAGAAACAGACACACTGTGAAATAACTAAGTCCCAGAGGAGAAAGCCTGCTTGACATGTTCTGGAACAAAGGGACTGCTGTGACCAGAATAAACAGGGTAGCAGGAGTTGTAAATGGCTAGGATATTAAGTCTTACAGAGACAAGCTAGTATCTAGATCATATCAAGTATGGTAAAATATTTGGAATTTTATAGAAAAATAAATTCCATTTGCATTCAAGTGGTCACTGGTCTAAATGTGACTAGAAAAAATATTCAACTAACATGTGCAAATGTGACAATGAGCTATCTTTCCTGAGAAGATGTGACTCTTGAGACTGTGACCTGCTCATCTCTTAATGATCTCATAGTTCCAGGATAGTATGCGTCAGAATGATTGATAGTAGAAAATATCACCAACAAAAATTATGGTTTCCATTTTCTGACATTAGTAATAAGAATGTATTATTTAACAGTAGGTGATACTTCAAATTACAAAGTATGTGTATTAATTACCAGGATTAAGAATATAAGCTCTTGATCACAAATGACAACACATGCAGTTTGGAGAGATGCACACTTCTGTTTGATTGGCTTCAGGCTTTAAGCCAAATTTACTTAAAATCTTCATTAATAACAGTTAAAGAGTTTCCAAAAAATAAAAAAGAGCATCAGATAGTTTACGAAAAGGGATATGGGTGAAAACAACTTGAAAGTGATATAAATAGAGATACATGCATATAAGAAAAGGAACACAAGAATCTCCAAAAACTTATGTTTGTTACTATATGTGAAATTTGTTTGTTACTATATGTGAAATTAATGGAGAGCTTGATGAGTTATTTTTGGGTGGCATTAGTTATTTGCACGTATGCTAACGTATTTCTGGGGTGACAAACCATTCCAGTTTGCCTACTGACTGTCCCATTTTTAGCACTGAACTGCCAGCATTTAGGGAGACTCTTCCATCCTTGGAAACCCAAGATGGCTGTCTACTCTATTTCTAGTAATCCTGAAAGTGAGTGTGCTACAAATGGTTGTGAATAATGTTTTTTTATTTTTGTTCAGAAATATTTTATACACAAAATAATATGTAATCTATCAGTAGTGTATAATGAATGGCACTAGTAAACCCACAACCCGCTTAAAACATTTGAAATTACTGCTCTCTTTAAAGTCACTGTGTTTCCTGTTCCTTTCCCACCCTTCTGCTTCAAGAAGTTATTGCTTTGATTAAAATTGTAATTAACTGCTTCCTGCTTCTCTTTTTCTTTTAAATATTTTTATCACAAATTTAACCACATCCAAACATTACATTGTATTGATTATCATTGTTTTGGAAATCCTTACGATTAGTAACATACTGTACATATTTTTCTGGCAAACGTTTTTATGGTTCAACATTATACTAAATAACTTCATTTTACCATGTGATCATCCCAGAAATATATTTATTCATTTTCATCATTGTGCACAAATAATAAAATAAACAGTGCTTATCTGGTACTCATTATTTTCCAGAAACTGTTCTAAGCTCTTTGTGTATACAAATTCTTTATTTTCTTTTCTTTTTTTTTTTATTATACTTTAAGTTTTAGGGTACATGTGCACAATGTGCAGGTTAGTTACATATGTATACATGTGCCATGCTGGTGCACTGCACCCACTAACTCGTCATCTAGCATTAGGTATATCTCCCAATGCTATCCCTCCGCCCTCCCTCCACCCCACCACAGTCCCCAGAGTGTGATATTCCCCTTCCTGTGTCCATGTGATCTCATTGTTCAATTCCCACCTATGAGTGAGAATATGCGGTGTTTGGTTTTTTGTTCTTGCGATAGTTTACTGAGAATGATGATTTCCAATTTCATCCATGTCCCTACAAAGGACATGAACTCATCATTTTTTATGGCTGCATAGTATTCCATGGTGTATATGTGCCACGTTTTCTTAATCCAGTCTATCATTGTTGGACATTTGGGTTGGTTCCAACTCTTTGCTATTGTGAATAATGCCGCAATAAACATACGTGTGCATGTGTCTTTATAGCAGCATGATTTATAGTCATTTGGGTATATACCCAGTAATGGGATGGCTGGGTCAAATGGGATTTCTAGTTCTAGATCCCTGAGGAATCGCCACACTGACTTCCACAATGGTTGAACTAGTTTACAGTCCCACCAACAGTGTAAAAGTGTTCCTATTTCTCCACATCCTCTCCAGCACCTGTTGTTTCCTGACTTTTTAATGATTGCCATTCTAACTGGTGTGAGATGGTATCTCATTGTGGTTTTGATTTGCATTTCTCTGATGGCCAGTGATGATAAGCATTTTTTCATGTGTTTTTTGGCTGCATAAATGTCTTCTTTTGAGAAGTGTCTGTTTATGTCCTTCGCCCACTTTTTGATGGGGTTGTTTGTTTTTTTCTTGTAAATTTGTTTGAGTTAATTGTAGATTCTGGATATTAGCCCTTTGTCAGATGAGTAGGTTGCGAAAATTTTCTCCCATTTTGTAGGTTGCCTGTTCACTCTGATGGTAGTTTCTTTTGCTGTGCAGAAGCTCTTTAGTTTAATTAGATCCCATTTGTCAATTTTGTCTTTTGTTGCCATTGCTTCTGGTGTTTTGGACATGAAGTCCTTGCCCATGCCTATGTCCTGAATGGTAATGCCTAGGTTTTCTTCTAGGGTTTTTATGGTTTTAGGTCTAACGTTTAAATCTTTAATCCATCTTGAATTGATTTTTGTATAAGGTGTAAGGAAGGGATCCAGTTTCAGCTTCCTACATATGGCTAGCCAGTTTTCCCAGCACCATTTATTAAATAGGGAATCCTTTCCCCATTGCTTGTTTTTCTCAGGTTTGTCAAAGATCAGATAGTTGTAGGTATGCGGCGTTATTTCTGAGGGCTCTGTTCTGTTCCATTGATCTATATCTCTGTTTTGGTACCAGTACCATGCTGTTTTGGTTACTGTAGCCTTTTAGTATAGTTTGAAGTCAGGTAGTGTGATTCCTCCAGCTTTGTTCTTTTGGCTTAGGATTGACTTGGCGATGCGGGCTCTTTTTTGGTTCCATATGAACTTTAAAGTAGTTTTTTCCAATTCTGTGAAGAAAGTCATTGGTAGCTTGATGGGGATGGCATTGAATCTGTAAATTACCTTGGGCAGTATGGCCATTTTCACGATATTGATTCTTCCTACCCATGAGCATGGAATGTTCTTCCATTTGTTTGTATCCTCTTTTATTTCCTTGAGCAGTGGTTTGTAGTTCTCCTTGAAGAGGTCCTTCACATCCCTTGTAAGTTGGATTCCTAGATATTTTATTCTCTTTGAAGCAATTGTGAATGGGAGTTCACTCATGATTTGGCTCTCTGTTTGTCTGTTGTTGGTGTATAAGAATGCTTGTGATTTTTGTACATTGATTTTGTATCCTGAGACTTTGCTGAAGTTGCTTATCAGCTTAAGGAGATTTTGGGCTGAGACAATGGGGTTTTCTAGATACACAATCATGTCGTCTGCAAACAGGGACAATTTGACTTCCTCTTTTCCTAATTGAATACCCTTTATTTCCTTCTCCTGCCTAATTGCCCTGGCCAGAACTTCCAACACTATGTTGAATAGGAGTCGTGAGAGAGGGCATCCCTGTCTTGTGCCAGTTTTCAAAGGGAATGCTTCCAGTTTTTGCCCATTCAGTATGATATTGGCTGTGGGTTTGTCATAGATAGCTCTTATTATTTTGAAATATGTCCCATCAATACCTAATTTATTGAGAGTTTTTAGCATGAAGGGTTGTTGAATTTTGTCAAAGGCTTTTTCTGCATCTATTGAGATAATCATGTGGTTTTTGTCTTTGGCTCTGTTTATATGCTGGATTACATTTATTGATTTGCATATGTTGAACCAGCCTTGCATCCCAGGGATGAAGCCCACTTGATCATGGTGGATAAGCTTTTTGATGTGCTGCTGGATTCGGTTTGCCAGTATTTTATTGAGGATTTTTGCATCAATATTCATCAAGGATATTGGTCAAAAATTCTCTTTTTTGGTTGTGTCTCTCCCTGGATTTGGTATCAGAATGATGCTGGCCTCATAAAATGAGTTAGGGAGGATTCCCTCTTTTTCAATTGATTGGAATAGTTTCAGAAGGAATGGTACCAGTTCCTCCTTGTACCTCTGGTAGAATTCGGCTGTGAATCCATCTGGTCCTGGACTCTTTTTGGTTGGTAAACTATTGATTATTGCCATAATTTCAGCTCCTGTTATTGGTCTATTCAGAGATTCAACTTCTTCCTGGTTTAGTCTTGGGAGAGTGTATGTGTCAAGGAATTTATCCATTTCTTCTAGATTTTCTAGTTTATTTGCGTAGAGGTGTTTGTAGTATTCTCTGATGGTAGTTTGTATTTCTGTGGGATTGGTGGTGATATCTCCTTTATCATTTTTTATTGTGTCTATTTGATTCTTCTCTCTTTTTTTCTTTATTAGTCTTGCTAGCGGTCTATCAATTTTGTTGATCCTTTCAAAAAACCAGCTCCTGGATTCATTGATTTTTTGAAGGGTTTTTTGTGTCTCTATTTCCTTCAGTTCTGCTCGGATTTTAGTTATTTCTTGCCTTCTGCTAGCTTTTGAATGTGTTTGCTCTTGCTTTTCTAGTTCTTTTAATTGTGATGTTAGGGTGTCAATTTTGGATCTTTCCTGCTTTCTCTTGTGGGCATTTAGTGCTATAAATTTCCCTCTACACACTGCTTTGAATGCGTCCCAGAGATTCTGGTATGTTGTGTCTTTGTTCTCGTTGGTTTCAAAGAACATCTTTATTTCTGCCTTCATTTTGTTATGTACCCAGTAGTCATTCAGGAGCAGGTTGTTCAGTTTCCATGTAGTTGAGCGTCTTTCAGTGGGATTCTTAATCCTGAGTTCTAGTTTGATTGCACTGTGGTCTGAGAGATAGTTTGTTATAATTTCTCTTGTTTTACATTTGCTGAGGAGAGCTTTACTTCCAAGTATGTGGTCAATTTTGGAATAGGTGTGGTGTGGTGCTGAAAAAAATGTATATTCTGTTGATTTGGGGTGGAGAGTTCTGTAGATGTCTATTAGGTCAGCTTGGTGCAGAGCTGAGTTCAATTCCTGGGTATCCTTGTTGACTTTCTGTCTCGTTGATCTGTCTAATGTTGACAGTGGGGTGTTAAAGTCTCCCATTATTAATGTGTGGGAGTCTAAGTCTCTTTGTAGGTCACTCAGGACTTGCTTTATGAATGTGGGTGCTCCTATATTGGGTGCATATATATTTAGGATAGTTAGCTCTTCTTGTTGAATTGATCCCTTTACCATTATGTAATGGCCTTCTTTGTCTCTTTTGATCTTTGTTGGTTTAAAGTCTGTTTTATCAGAGACTAGGATTGCAACCCCTGCCTTTTTTTGTTTTCCATTTGCTTGGTAGATCTTCCTCCATCCTTTTATTTTGAGCCTATGTGTGTCTCTGTACGTGAGATGGGTTTCCTGAATACAGCACACTGATGGATCTTGACTCTTTATCCAACTTGCCAGTCTGTGTCTTTTAATTGGAGAATTTAGTCCATTTATATTTAAAGTTAATATTGTTATGTGTGAATTTGATCCTGTCATTATGATGATAGCTGGTGATTTTTCTCGTTAGTTGATGCAGTTTCTTCCTAGTCTCTGTGGTCTTTACATTTTGGCATGATTTTGCAGTGGCTGGTACCGGTTGTTCCTTTCCATGTTTAGTGCTTCCTTCAGGAGCTATTTTAGGGCAGGACTGGTGGTGACAAAATCTCTCAGCATTTGCTTGTCTGTAAAGTATTTTATTTCTCCTTCACTTATGAAGCTTAGTTTGACTGGATATGAAATTCTGGGTTGAAAATTCTTTTCTTTAAGAATGTTGAATATTGGCCCCCACTCTCTTCTGGCTTGTAGGGTTTCTGCCGAGAGATCCGCTGTTAGTCTGATGGGCTTCCCTTTGAGGGTAACCCGACCTTTCTCTCTGGCTGCCCTTAACATTTTTTCCTTCATTTCAACTTTGGTGAATCTGACAATTATGTGTCTTGGAGTTGCTCTTCTCAAGGAGTATCTTTGTGGCATTCTCTGTATTTCCTGAATCTGAACGTTGGCCTGCCTTGCTAGATTGGGGAAGTTCTCCTGGATAATATCCTGCAGAGTGTTTTCCAACTTGGTTCCATTCTCCCCATCACTTTCAGGTACACCAATCAGATGTAGATTTGGTCTTTTCACATAGTCCCATATTTCTTGGAGTCTTTGCTGATTTCTTTTTATTCTTTTTTCTCTAAACTTCCCTTCTCGCTTCATTTCATTCATTTCGTCTTCCATTGCTGATACCCTTTCTTCCAGTTGATCGCATCGGCTCCTGAGGCTTCTGCATTCTTCACGTAGTTCTCGAGCCTTGGTTTTCAGCTCCATCAGCTCCTTTAAGCACTTCTCTGTATTGGTTATTCTAGTTATACATTCTTCTAAATTTTTTTCAAAGTTTTCAACTTCTTTGCCTTTGGTTTGAATGTCCTCCCATAGCTCAGAGTAATTTGATCATCTGAAGCCTTCTTCTCTGAGCTCGTCAAAGTCATTCTCCATCCAGCTTTGTTCTGTTGCTGGTGAGGAACTGCGTTCCTTTGGAGGAGGAGAGACGCTCTGCTTTTTAGAGTTTCCAGTTTTTCTGTTCTGTTTTTCCCCCATCTTTGTGGTGTTATCTACTTTTGGTCTTTGATGATGGTGATGTACAGATGGGTTTTCGGTGTGGATGTCCTTTCTGTTTGTTAGTTTTCCTTCTAACAGACAGGACCCTCAGCTGCAGGTCTGTTGGAATACCCTGCCATGTGAGGTGTCAGTGTGCCCCTGCTGGGGGGTGCCTCCCAGTTAGGCTGCTTGGGGGTCAGGGGTCAGGGACCCACTCGAGGAGGCAGTCTGCCGGTTCTCAGATCTCCAGCTGCATGCTGGGAGAACCACTGCTCTCTTCAAAGCTGTCAGACAGGGATATTTAAGTCTGCAGAGGTTACTGCTGTCTTTTTGTTTGTCTGTGCCCTGCCCCCAGAGGTGGAGCCTACAGAGGCAGGCAGGCCTCCCTGAGCTGTGGTGGGCTCCACCCAGTTCGAGCTTCCCGGCTGCTTTGTTTACCTAAGCAAGCCTGGGCAATGGCGGGCGCCCCTCCCCCAGCCTCGCTGCCGCCTTGCAGTTTGATCTCAGACTGCTGTGCTAGCAATCAGCGAGATTCCGTGGGCTGGGCGTAGGACCCTCCGAGCCAGGTGTGGGATATAGTCTCGTGGTGCGCCGTTTTTTAAGCCAGTCTGAAAAGCGCAATATTCGGGTGGGAGTGACCCGATTTTCCAGGTGCGTCCGTCACCGCTTTTTTTGACTCGGAAAGGGAACTCCCTGACCCCTTGCGCTTCCCAGGTGAGGCAATGCCTCGCCCTGCTTCGGCTCATGTACGGTGCGCGCACCCACTGGCCTGCGCCCACTGTCTGGCACTCCCTAGTGAGATGCACCCGGTACCTCAGATGGAAATGCAGAAATCACCCGTCTTCTGCGTCGCTCACGCTGGGAGCTGTAGACTGGAGCTGTTCCTATTCGTCCATCTTCCAGAAAGCCAAATTCTTTATTTTCTACAGAAAAAGTGGTAGAAATTATCATATCATTTTATACATGATCAAGCTGAGATACAGAGATTAAAAATTTAGAACAATTAGTGTAATATAGAAATACATTTGTAATATAATAAAAATTAGTAGCAGATGTGAAATTCAAATCCATGAAATCTGACTCCAGAGGTTGCATTCTTATTCACTAAAATAGGGCATCATATTTTACTGTGTAAATATATGACAGGTATATTTATTATCTTGTCAGTAGATATTTGGGTGGCTTATACATATTTTTCCTATTACAAACAATAACTCTATGAACAGTCTTATAACAATTCTCATCCAAACAAATAAAATGTTCTGTAGAGAAAAAAGAGTCATGAAGTATGTATGCTTTTCAATGTGGATATACCAATTTATATTTCTACAAACAACAAATTAAATTTTTCTTTCCCTATATTCTTATCAACCTACTGTGTTGTCACTGTTTATTTATTTTTGCCAAATTGTTGAAGGAATAATAATAACTTATTTTGGTTAAATTTGTGTTATCAGAAACTAAGAGACTGAACATATTTTTTATTGGCTAATTATGTGTAAGCTTTTGTAAAATTTTTATTTGTGTCTTTAGATTTTTTTATATTTTATTACAGTGATTTTTTTAATGACATTAAATATTCCTTTTTTTTTTTTTTTTCTGAGACAGAGTCTCGCTCTGTCGCCCAGGCTGGAGTGCAGTGGCGCGATCTCGGCTCACTGCAAGCTCCACCTCCCGGGGTCACGCCATTCTCCTGCCTCAGCCTCCCCAGTAGAAAAATTACTTTTTAAATTGACTACAATTATATGCATTTTTATAGTTTATCTGTTACATTATGTTTATGTGTGTCATATTTTATGTGACATATGTTAAATATCTTGCAAAAAATAATCTAACACAAAAAAACCTTCAGTTTTTCCTTTTCATTTTTAAAATTTATGATGATTTAATTAACTAATATTTCCAATATTTGTCATTAATAAAATCTGAGCTAAGATGTCCTTTCCCACCCTAAAGTCGTATTTAAAGTTTTAATCCTCCTAGAATTGAGTTTTATTTATGGTCTGAAGAGACAATTAAATTTATTTTTTCTCCCCATGTGGATAACCATTTTTTAAAATTTACCTTTGGATAATTACTGCTTGCTCTCACATATATTAAGTTTCTATAAAAATATAGATAACTTTCTTGGCTCCCTAACCTGTCTATTTATCTATTTAGGCACCAGCTTAAATCCCTTTTGCTGAAGTTTTATGTGATAGAGAAACAACCTTGCCTAATTCTCCTTCACTTTGTTTTTCTTTTTGGCTAAACACCTGCAGAAGTGATACAGATAAGTCTAGAGAGCTAAGTATCTGAGCAAGAAAGGCCTGGCAGCAGCAAGTAAAGGACACAGATAGGAAGACCATATCTTAGACTGTGTCAATGGGCTCAGAAACCAGAGCTGGCTCAAAATGGTAAGGGTGACAAGGTTTGATCCAAACAGTAATAGAACATGCTTATCACGATGAGATGATACTAGGCCTATTAGGAAAGAGAACCCTTAAGTATCTCAAACCTCTTTAGAGTCTAATAATGTTTTTTGTTACATATTTATTCTTAATCATGATATTGCTTAACTTTTAAAATATATGCCCCTTAAGGAAGTTCTGAAATCAAGGCTCTTTTCTTCATAACTCTTGAGCATTTAATATGGTTTAGTTTTTAGGTTTAAATTTTGCTATTTATTGGGTTTTATGATTATAAAAAACTGAGAATTTACTATCAAATAAATAAGTTTAATTATATTTAACTATGCTTTTAACTTTCAAATATTTTTTTCTGTAAATTGAACTGGTAACCACTATTATTTGATCAAAAGACTCCATGGGGTCCTCTCCTGACTTATGTCTTAAATGAATAAATATTTATGTCCTAATTTATACCCTTGAATATTACCATCTTTCAAACTTTCATCAGCCTGATGAGCCTTTCCAACTAGTCCAGCTTGCTTAGACACTTAGTACAATACCTTCATGTCAAATTGTGGGCAAAGTTAGGGAAGATGTACTGTCTTGGTTTTTACACATTAACCAGCTGAAGCTCATAATTATTAGATTATTTCCCCCATAGCTTGCAGTATTTGGGTTTATAACCAAGTGCTTATCTAATATAATGCACAATAATAGACTCTAGTAAGCTAAATAATGAGAAGCCTTGGGAAATGGTATAAACTTTTGGATTCATGTTGGAAGCAAATATCAAATTTGCTGTAGTATTTCAATTTTGCCTAGAAGTAAAAGTTTCAAATATGAAATAGAATGTTAGCTAATATTGTACTTTAATATGAATACAAAGAATTGCAAAAGAATGGGTGATATAAATGAAATGTATAGTTTTTATAAAATACTGTGTTTATAAATTAAGTGTTAATAAATTTTGCATGAAGTAGTAAGAGTCTAGAGTTCCGTAAAGTGAACTGTTCTTGTATCCTTCAACCATTTATAAAAGTGAATTGTTTCCAATTTACCAGGAAAATATTCTTATTCTAAGAACTCAAGCTGCAAAAGAACAAATAGCATATTTTGGTAAATTTTCTCTTTTTTTTGTAGTAAATCTTTTCTTTTTTAAATTATACTTTAAGTTCTGGTATACATGTGCAGAATGTGCAGGTTTGTTACATAGGTATACACGTTCCATGGTGGTTTGCTGCACCCATCAACCCATCATCTACATTAGGTATTTCTCCTAAGGCTATCCCTCCCCTATCACCCCACCCCTCAACAGGCCCTGGTGTGTAATGTTCCCCTCCCTGTGTCCACATGTTCTCATTGTTCAACTCCCACTTATAAGTGAGAACATGCAGTGTTTGGTTTTCTGTTTCAGTGCTAGTTTGCTGAAAATCATGGTTTCCAGCTTCATCCATGTCTCTGCTCTTTAGTTTAATTAGATCCCATTTGTCAATTTTGGCTTTTGTTGCCATTGCTTTTGGTGTTTTAGTCATGAAGTCTTTGACCATGCCTATGTCTTAAATGGTATTGCCTAGGTTTTCTTCGAGGGTTTTTATGGTTTTAGGTCTTACATTTAAGTCTTTATCTATCTTGAGTTAATTTTTGTTTAGGTGTAAGGAATGGGTCCAGTTTCATTTTTCTGCATATGGCTAGCCAGTTTTCCCAACACCATTTATGAAATAGGGAATCCTTTCCCCATTGCTTGTTTTTGTCAGGTTTGTCAAAGATCAGATGGTTGTAGATGTGTGACATTATTTCTGAGGCCTCTGTTCTGTTCCATTGGTCTATATATCTCTTTTGGTACCAGTACCATGCTGTTTTGGTTACTGTAGCCTTGTAGTATAGTTTGAAGTCAGGTAGTGTGATGCCTCCAGCTTTGTTCTTTTTGCTTAGGATTGTCTTTGCTGTAAGGGATCTTTTTTGGTTCCACATGAAATTTAAAGTAGTTTTTTCTAATTCTGTGAAGAAAGTCAATGGTAGCTTGATGGGGATAGCATTGAATCTATAAATTATAATTTTACTCTATGGAAACATACAATTTCATCATTTTAAGTCCTTTTATTTAGGCATATATCATTAAAATCATACGAAATAAATTGTTTTAGTATGACTTATAAAGGCAAGATTTCCTTGGAATATTGTCTGATTGAGTTGTGAAATAACTGAGGTGATGCTGGATAAATAAATTAAAAATAAGTAAAATATTTGTCTGAATTATTTTTGTTTTTATTATTTTGGCATGAATTTTCTAGAGTGATGAATATAATTAATATGATTAATTTTTCATTTGTAAAACTTTACCTTAGATATGAACATTTTAAATACACACAGTAGCTTCCTCTTAGGAAAAATACCTTGTTACCATGCATAAATTAACCAAGATCCATATTATTCTTCCATTATCACACAAAATAATTTAGTCTTCTTCACTAACTAACATCTACTCAGAACTCTAGTAATCACTTACAAATTGGGAGCTTTAAGGTTAAACTATGATGCAATTCCCTTTTGTGCATGTTTCTGGATGACAACGATAATGCTGTTGCTTATGATGATAATTATAATTTTTTAAATGTCAGCATTTATTCAGTAATAAAGTAGTAGGCCTATTTCAGATAACCTGTTTACCTGATCTGATTTAATTTTTATAATAATCAAACTAAAGATCTATCTGAATCCTGTATCTGAGAGATATGAGTACCTTAAATGATAAAATGTAATGAGAGTGTATGTGTTTTCACATTTGCTGCAGTACTTATTATCTTCTTAGAGAACAAATTTTTTCACTTTATTGAGCAACTACTTACAACCAAATTAGTTTGACGTATATTATTATCATAATGTATAAGCAAAAAGGCAAGGCTCAGTGGAGTAAATTACTAGTTGTTTAGTTACACAAGCAAGTAATTACCCAGACAGGTTTCAAATTCATTTCTGACTTTCTTTGAACTCACTATATATACTGCATTCTGGAATCAAAAGGGTTCAAAAAATATTGTTGCAAAAATTTGAGACTTCATAAGTAAAAATAAGTGACTTGAGAAACCAAATGAAGACCTGTATCTCATATTAAAAAAATGTGGTGGGGCATGGTGGCTCAGGCCTGTAATCCCAGCACTTTGGAAGCCAAGGCAGGTGTCTCACTTGGGCTCAGGAGTTCGAAAACAGCCTGGGCAACATGGTGAGACTCCATCTCTATAAAAAGTACAAAAATTAGCCATGCATGGTGGTGCACGCCTGCGGTCTGGCGGCTGAGGTGGGAGGATCACTTAAGCCTGGGCAACAAGGAGTGAGCCAAGATGTCGCCACTGCACTCCAGCATGGGTGACAGAGTCAGACCCTATCCATCACCCCCAAAAAATCATTTTGATATTATGGTCTTAATTTTTTGATACTGTGATCTCATTTTCATTTTCAATAAAGAATCTTCCATTGACTTATTCACACAATATTTACTAGAAATGTATTTTGAGAAAGGCAGTATTTGAAACTGTGCATAAGGTGCTTACTCTTGTCAAATATTGCTAAAATATCTTGTAAAATAAAACAATACTGGTGATTTTGTTAAATAGTGTTCTGCCTATATGTTTTTATATGTTAATGTAAAAACTGCAAATTCTCATTTTGAAAATACAATATACATCTGCCTTGAAGCGAATGATGCTGGTCCCTGATCAAACTGGAGCTTACAGTTTAGTTGGGAAGATAGCCATTAATAAATAAAGCTTGAATATAAGCATTATAACACAAAGTAACAAATCCTGTAAAGTAGCCAAAGAGTACAGCATCAGGGAATTCCATGTAGAAAAGTGCCACCTAAGATGTGCTCTGAATGATAAGTAGAAGGAGTCAGTCATGGTAGAAGTGTAATAAGAACATGCCTAGCACAAAGGAAGCCTATAAGGCAGAAAAGAGCCTGGTGCCTTTGGTGAAATAAAAGAATACAAAAGAGGATAAAGGGAAGTTAGTTCTGAAGAGACTCACATGAGTATGAGACTTTCATGGTCTTACAGGCTTTATTATTAAATTGAAATTTTATTCTATATACAAGGGAAAGCCATTGAAGTTTTTTAAGGAAGGAAGTGATTGAGTCATATTAAAATAAAGCTTAGAAATTTTATAGGATGATAAATGAAGACATGATTTAGGTAGCTGTTTCAATATTCCAAGCTTGAGACACTGGTGTTTTGAACAAAAATAGTGGCAGTGAAAATGGAAAAATGTAAATAGAATACAGTCGTATTTTGAATATAGAATCACAGGAATTGAGCGTGTAGGGAGAAATATTTTAAAGATGTGATTTCAGATTTGGGCATTATGAATTTCAGATGTCTGTGAGACACCCACATGGAATATCAAAAAAGTAATTGTCTGGGATAATCCAAAAAAGTAGCCTTGCCTGAAGAGAAAACTTTGGGACTCTGTAAGTGTAGAAATGATTTTTAAATCCCTAACAATAGATGGCATCACCAAAACCAAATTTGTGAAAAATGAGGAGTGGGACACAGCCCTGAGTAAACTTTTGATAAAGCTGAGCAGAAACCAGTAAAGAGAATTGGGGAAAATTTTTCTGAAATATAAGAAGAAAATTAGAAAAATGGGTTGTGTCATTATGAAATAAAATATCTAAAGTTAATGAGGGAAAGTTAACTAAAAGAAGAACATGAAGAATAGATGTAAAGTAAGGATAAATAACTGCAGCGAAGAAGTAGTGATATCCAAGAAACAAAAAGGACCCAAAAATGTTATTAGATTGAAGAATATTTGTCTCAGTGTCAAGGAGGATATTGTATCTATTATTCTAGTTACTTGTGCCTCCCTGCCTTGATATATATAGAAAGGTTATGGCTATTACAGAAAGCAGCTTGCTGCTACTGGAGATGATGAAAGCTTACAAGGACAGAGCACACCTACACTGCTACCTTGTGAGAGGTGAAGCCAGCTGGACTTCCCGGGTGGAGTGGGGACTTGGAGAACTTTTCTGTCTAGCTAAAGGAATGTAAATGCACCAATCAGTGCTCTGTCTAGTTAAAGGATTGTAAATGGACCAATCAGTGCTCTGTAAAATGGACCAATCAGCAGGACATGGGCAGGACCAAATGAGGGAATAAAAGCTGGCCACCTGGTTGCCACTCTCCCCTTCCACGCTGTGGAAGCTTTGTTCTTTCACTTTTCACAGTAAATCTTGCTGCTGCTCACTCTTTGGGTCCTCACTATCTTTATGAGCTGTAACACTCACTGCAAAGGTCTGCAGCTTCACTCCTGAAGTCAGCGAGACCATGAATCCACTGGGACTAACAAACAATTCTGGACTAAGAGCTGTAACTCTCACTGCAAAGTTCTGCAGGTTCATTCCTGGAGTCAGCAAGACCATGAACCCACTCCGGAAGAAACTCCGGACACATCTGAACATCTGAAGGAACAAACTCCGGACACACCATCTTTAAGAACTGTAACACTCACCGCAAGGATCCGTGACTTCATTCTTGAAGTCAGCGAGAACAAGAACCCACTGGAAGGAACCAATTCTGGACACAACTGGACTGCACATCCTAGGGAGAGCAAAAGATACAGACCTGGAAATACTTAATTTCCTTTTGTTTCCAGGATGCATTAGGTAACATATCATGTTGTGATAGAACTACCTGCTTTGATCCTATGAAAGCATTTATCAAAGCATATTGTAATAATCTACTATTGCCTTAGTCTTCTCCATTGTAATGTGCACAATTTAAGGAAAGGTATGTCTAAAAATCTGTATATCCAATATTTGACTCGTTGTGGTACATAGTAGCACACAAAAAATTTGTGAAATGAAGGATGCATGAGAGTGGAGCTGGGGATAATATAGTTTGTTTATTTTAGACCGATCGAGCAGGTCCAGAGGCAATAAGTGAAAATTCAAAGAACATGCTTTTTGTCATATATAAGACAGATATTTCAAGTATTCTAGAATAGTCTAAAAAGAAGGATCTATTTCCATGAAGGCACTTGAGTGGACAGCTGAATGACAACTTGTTGGAGGGATTGTAGAGAAGAATTAAGTAAAATTGTAACCACTATTAATTGATCAAAAGCCTTTGTTATCATTTATGTTGATTTATATCCTAACATAATGTAATATTATTTCTATCTTTAAGAAAACATTCTTAATATTGTATGATATAGCTCCTCATCTTCAAAGAATTAATACAGCTTAATAATATTAGTTTTATAAACAGCACTAAGAACGTTGAAAATGAAGAGAAAATATGTATGGGTTAGTCAATGTCTTATAAGGTGCTATTTAAAATTGTAGTTAAGAAATTATACATTATTACTAAAGATAACTAGCTACAAAATGTTGCGCTCTTTCTTTCTCTTCTCTCTCTCTCTTTCTCTGTCTCTCTAGAAACAGACAGAATGGCAAATGCAAATAGTGAAGCAAATGAATTAAATACAAATATTTTTACAAATACTGTATTTGTGGTATGTCAATATGTTGTCAGAAAAGGAATTTATCATAGATAATTTTTATTGAAATGTAACCTTAAGTTTCTAGAGCCAAGGGAAGAGCAAAAAAGTGGTGAAGATAATAAAAAAAGAGTCAATTAATTAATGATTCATTCATAGTGACTGTAATTCAGAAAACATGACAAAAGACTATGACATTTATAAGAATAATGTTATTTTTAAAAATATGGGTACAATAGCTTATTTCTAAATTGAAAATGTTATTACTTTTTCAGTATTTTATTTTTCAAATATCCATATTTCATCCTATTTATAAATGCGAAAACAATAAAATGTTACTAGTGGACATTTGTATCTATTTAGCATTTTTGATGGGTCAAAATATTTACATATATTTTAAACATATTTGTTGGCTGTCAAGTATATATTTGACTCTTTAAACATATATTTATTGGCTGTCAAGTATATATTTGACTCTTTAAACATATATTTATTGGCTGTCAAGTATATATTTGTCATGGTATTTACTCAGCTTGAGTGTCATACAGCATCATCTATTGACATATGAAATAATTCAGTTTTCAGTTGTTATTACTGATTGACACTAAATTTCTTTGTTGAAAAATTCAATACTTTGATATCTATTCTACACTTCATGATCTTTAATTTATCCATTTGAGAATGAATTTTTACCTAGAGAATGTTTTACGCTTATTTTATATAGATGGATCTTATTCTTTAATAAATAAGATAAAAACATATAGAGTCTCATGTGTATATGCCAGATGATTGATTCCAATGGCCTGTAGATATGAAAATAATTATTTTAAAATGAAATATGAGCAAAGAAGTATTTTAAGATGTAGACTTCCTCAGAAGAGAACCAGAAATATGGGTTCATGTAAGAAATAACAAATGGCAATGTATGGAGTACTCTAGATACCTTCTTAATTAGAGATAAATGTGTTGTACAAATAATGAGACTGGCATGTGGGAAAAATATGTTTTCTCCTTGTTTGCTTTACCTTTTAATTGGGTTATGAAATTGTTTAATAATACAAGCAAGACATTTCTAATACTGAACTCTTGAGACCAGACCCAGATTGCACTTTGCATATTCAATGAACATGATGAAGATTTCAGTTTTTCAAAGTAGAAATCAGGTTAGTCAAATACTGAAATAAAGTGAATCATCTCTCAAATTTATGCTGAGCTACTGTGAGGATTAAAAGAGATAAACTTTGAAAATTGCTTGACAGTGGATCTGACACATAGTAGGGGCTTAAAAAGAAAGATATTACTATAAATATAACTTAATCATTTAATAAAATGTATAATATTTTAATATACGGATAATATCTTTCAAAAAAATAAATAATCCAAGGTTTTCTCACCTTAATATAGAGTAATTTTTGAGTGGGCCTTTGAAATGCCTAGCACACATGTTTTTCTCCATTTCCTTTACCCAAACACTCATATTCCCATAATCCATCCCCACACCCTCAAGTCAAACTCATCTCATTTCTCTCCATTTCTTAGAACTATGTGCACTCTGTTTTATTACTGGAAATTTCTTTTCATTCTTTCTCAGTTTATTTCATTTTCAATCTTTTGTCTTGATCAAATATGGCTCTCCCCCAATTATGCCACAGTCAATGCTGTCTTTTCTTTATATTTCTTATTCTATATTCTATATAAAGCCACCTTAATCTCTGATTTGCCTACTTTTTTCTAACATCTTCAGTCAAATTTAATTCATTGACTGTGATACCTTATTTTATTGTGCTTTGCAGGTATTACACTCTTTCACAAATTGAAGTTTTGGGGCAATCTCACATTTACCAAGTCTATCAGCAATCATTTTTCCAACAGCATGTGCTCACTTCATGTCTCCATGTTATATTTTGGTAAATCTAGCAATATGTCAAACTTTTCCATTATTATTGTATTTGTTATGGTGGATCCATGATCATGATCTTTGATATTACTGCTGTAATAGTTTGGACATCATGAATATGTCCATTTAAATATAAGACAGCAAACCTAATACATAAATGTTTTGTGTGTTCTGACTCTTCCACCATCCAGTTCTTTCCCCATCCCTCTCCTTCTCCTGAGGCCTATTCCCTGAGACACAACAATATTTAAATTAGGCTAAATAATAACCCTACAGTGTGCTGTAAGCGTTCAAGTTAAAGGAAGTGTTACACTTCTCTCACTTTCAATGAAAAGCTAAAAATGATTAAGCATAGTGAGAATGACATGTCAAAAGCCAAAACAGGCTAAAAGCTAGACCTCTTGTGTCAAATAGTAAGCCATGTTGTCAATGTAAAGAAAAAGTCCTTGAAGGAAATTAAAAGTGCTATTCCAGTGAACACACAAATGGTAAGGGAGCAAAATAGACTTATTGCTGATATGGAAAAAGTTTTAGTGGTCAAACCAGCCACTACATTCCCTTAAACCAATGTGAAATTCAGATCAAGGTCCTAAATCTCTTCAATTCTCTGAAGGCTGGAAGAGGTAAGGAAGCTACTGAAGAAAAGTTAGAAGCTAGCAGTGGTTAGTTCATGAGATTTTTAAAAAGCCAAATCTATAAGATAACAGCACAAAATGAAGCAGGAAGTGTTAATGTAGAGTTGTAACCAGTTTTCTGGAAGATATAGCTAAAATAATTAATGAAGATAATTACAATAAACAACAGATTTTCAATGTAGATGAAATGGCCTAACATTGGAAGAAGATGCTATCTAGGACTTACATAGCTAAAGAGGAGAAGCCAATGCTTGGGTTCAAAGCTTCCAAGGAAAGGCTGACTTTCTTGTTAGGGGCTAATGCAGCTGGTGACTTTACATTGAAGTCAGTGATTATTTGCCATTCAAAAATGCTAGGGCCCCTAAGAATTATGCTAAATCTACTCTGCCTGTGTTCTATAAATGGAACAAAGCCTGGACGACAACACATCTGTTTGTAGCATGATACACTGAGTAGTTTAAGCCTACTGTTGAGAACTCTTGCTCAGAAAAAAAGATTCCTTTCAAAATATTACTGTTCAGTGACAATGCACCTAGTCACCCAAGAGCTCTGATGGAGCTGTGCAAAGAGATCAATGTCATTTTCATTCCTCCAACACAACATTCATTCTGCAGCCTATGGATCAAGAAGTAATTTCAACTTTCAAGTCTTATTATTTAAGAAATACATTCTGTAAGGCTATTGTCACCACAGATCATGATTCCTTTGGTGGATCTGGACAAAGTACATTGAAAACCATCTGGAAGGGATTCACCATTCTAGATGCCAATAAGATCATTCATGACTCATTGGAGGAGGTCAAAATCCCAATTTTAACCAGAGTTTGGAAAAAATTAATTCCAATCCTAATGGATAACTTTGACGGGCTCAATAAGTCAGTGTAGAAAGTAAATGAAAATGTAGTAGAAATAATAAGAGAACTATAATTAGAAGTGGAGCCTGAAGATGTGACTGAATTGCTGCAATCTCATGACAAAAATTGAATAGATGAGGAATTGCTTCTTATGAATAAGCAAGGGAAGTGTTTTATTGAGCTGAAATCTATTCCTAGTGAAGATGAATAACATTGAAATGATAAAAGATTTAGAATATTACATAAAGTTAGTTAGTTAATAAAAGCAGTGGCAAGGCTTGAGAACTGTGACTCCAGTTTTGAAGGAAGTTCTACTGTGAGTAAAATGCTATCAAACAGCACTGCATGCTACAGAGAAATCTTTCATGAAAGGAAGTGTCAATTGACGTGGCCAACTTCTTGTCCTATTTTAAGAAATTGCCATAGCCACCCCAACCTTTAGCAACCACCTCCTTGATCAGTCAGCAGCTGTTAGCATCAAGGATAAACCCTCGACCAGCAAAAAGAACATGACTTGCTGAAGGTTCAGATGATTGTTATCATTTTTAATGTATTTTTAATTAAGGTATATATTATTTTTAAAGTTATAATGCAATTGCACTTAATAGACTACAATATAGTGTAAACATAACCTTTATAGGCACTGGGAAATAAAAAAAATTTGTGTGAATCACTTTATTGCAATATCTACTTTATTGCAGTAGTCTGGAACTGAACCCTCAATATCTTCAAAATATGCCTGTATTCAGTTTATGAACAGGTATTTATTAAGTGCCTTCTATGTGCCAGGTACCATTCTAGGACCTTACAATGTATCAGTAGACATAATAGACAGAAATACAGTACTGGAGTACCTTCCATTTAGTGGTGGTGTGGAATATAGACTATGAACAATAAACATGAAAAATAATTCACTTATAAATAATGCTAAAATTAATAAGTGCTATAAAAAGGAGAATAAAGGGGATAGGAGTGGATAAAGGGGAGTGTAGATTCAATTTGAAATAATATGGTCAGGATAGGACTCATTGATTAAAGTGTAGTGGGGAAAAGATAAAGCATTAGCACCATGAATATTTTTGGGAAAAGTAGTTCGTGTGAAAGAAAGAGACAAATCTATTGCATCCAAAATGAAATGACTAGGAAGTAGAGCAGTTGGAGAAGTCAGATATATGACATTGGCCAGACACTGCACATGAAGTCCACATTACATGTTGCTTTCACATGGAGTTAAGGAGAGTCGCTGGAGGATTTTGAGCAAAGCAGCATCAAGGTCTGAATTACATTTTGGAAGAATGATTCTGTTCGCTATGTTGAGAATAGAAAACATTGGTTGGCAGGGGTAGGGTGGCAAGGAAGAAAAAGAACATAAATTTCTGTTTCATTTATTTTCACTTTATGCCCATGTAATTTGTGTCATAATATAGTCAATCTGCAATTCATGTTTTATACTTTTTAGGTGATTTAAGGCTTAAGTTATATATATTTTTATGCCATAAACTGCTGCCAGTATTGGCAGCTCCAACATCTATCTCGATAATCTTTTAAATAGCTAAACATTAAGGATCCTTAACTGGTTTTGCTCCATTGATATATCAATACATCACATTGTACTTTGGCCATATCCTAATTACTGACAAAACAAAGCATATCCCGCCTCTGGGTTGATGAATTTGGTCCAGAGACTCTTTTTCTTAAAATTTCTTGTCTTTCAAAATTAATACAGTTGTTAGGTTAATGTATCAGACTGACATTGACCTACATTCAGTAATTTCTCTAAGATTGTTAACTTTCCCTAGCATTAAGAAATTATGACTTAGCATAAATGCCAGATTCATCCCCAACAAATACATTCTTAGTACCATATTTGTCAATTTATTAATGTTTTCCTGCTTGGAATCCTTTCCCTTCTGTACAACCTATCAATTCATCAAAGCCTATTACATGTTTTATCTTCTTTATGAGGATTTCTTTAACCCTTCCAGTCAACATACATATATTTTCTTCTTCTGCCAAGAAAATTACTTAATCAACCTATATTTAATAAGTAGCAACTAAGTTTCTGGAACTGTACCAAATCTGGGGGAGGAGTCTGATTTGAATCACTAATGAATGGATTATTAGACACTAAGAGCTCAGAAGGAAAGAGGATATAATAAAATAACATGTAGCTCAGGTACCTGACCTATCCTGAGGAGCTGGCAACTAACCTAAGATGAATTGGAGTTATTTAGACAAATGAGGGTGGAGATGAACAGGGCATCCTTATTTGGTCTTAACCATCAGTCCATCATACATCAGGCTTTTTAATTTTTTTATTTTTGTCTCATTTCATGTAATCCTGCTCTCAATTCTAATTTTTACAGTTGTCAAAATAAATTTTATAATTTAAAAAATACTAAAATATACCTTGAAAACCACTAGTATTTTAAATACATAATTTTTGTAATGTTTTGATTTTGATTTTTTTATAATTTCAACTTTTATATACAGGGGTTACAGGTGTAGGTTTGTTACATGCATATATTGCATGATGCTGAGGCATGGAGTATGAATGATCCTGTCACCCAGATAGGGAGCATAATACCCAACAAGTAGTTTTTCAGCCCTTGGCTCCCTCCTGCTCTCCACCCTTATTAGTCCCCAGCGTCTATTGTTACCATCTTTTTGTCCATGTCTTTATCAGCAGCATGAAAACAGATTAATAACCCATGTTGCTGCAAATGATAGATTTTCATTTTTTTAATAGTTTACTACTATTCTATTGTGTATACATACCACATTTTCTTGATCCATTCTTCTGTTGATGGGTACTTAGGTTGACTTCATGTCTTTGCTACTGTGAAAACTGCTGCAATAAACATGAGAGTATAGATATACCTTCAGTATCCTCATTTCTTTTATTTTGAATATAAATACTCAGCAGTAGGATTGCTGAAGCATATGGTAGTTTTATTCCTAGCATTTAAGGAACCTCCGTACTGTTTTCCATAATGGCTGTACTAATTCATATTCCCAAAAACAGTGTATGAGACTTCCTTTTTCTCTGCATCCTTGTCAGCATTAAATTAATAAAATTAAAATAGGTATAAAATGCTTTGCATCATCTTTTAAAAACGATTTTTATAAAGAAATTCTAAGAATTTAACATTCTGTCTCTTCAATATTTGTGAACTTGTAAAAAGTATGTATACAAGTGGCCAAAAACTAGAATGAAGAATGGAAAATAAAGCATGATTTTTAAAAGTGATCAGTTCAATAGTGATTTTTTCTATAGTGTTTCTTTTTATAATACATGGGTAGCAAGATTTAAGAATAATAAGAAAATGTCTTAGTTTACATATTTATACAATATTGATTAATCAAGGTATGAGTATGCACATTTGAATATATAGAATGGACTAGATCCAACATATGCCTCTCCCTGTCCATACATCATATTTAGAATTTTAACTCTCATATATAGCATAAGTCCAAATCCCATCTTTCTAAATTTTATTTCTTTGCTTCTGCCATAAAGGATGCTTTCATCCGAAGATTATCTATTGCATTTCAACTACTCATAACCTACTAATCAGCTTTGGTGGCATTTTTTTCATGTCATATGCAGATTATACAAATGTTTTACATATTATCAAAAAGTCCATTCTTTTTGACACTTCAGCCAGGTGTGGAAAAATTTCTAACACTGTTTTCCTTCTAACAGATTAAAATTACTGTTATTTTGAGAGTTTGGTATAATTTTAGAATCAGCAATGCTAGGTTTTTTTCATACACTATTTATGAAGAATAGTATGAAATCACCATACCAGCTGCAATATATTGTTAAACTCTCCAAAGAACACTTTCTATTATTTTGTCTCTCTGTGTCATTGTCTTTCTTTCCTCCTGTGTTTTTGTATCAGACAACACTTGTTTTCTGAAGGGAAAATGATGATCATATCTGTTGTAATTCTGAAGGTTCTTCAAATGCAAAAGGATTTATAACTCTTATATTATCTATGATTCTGTATGAATTGGAAATAAAATACTATTAGATTAAAATTGAAAAATAATTTTAAAAGCATCCTTTCGTTGTTTAGTTATATTTCTTTGGTATAAAACTACACGTTCATTTAAGTCTTTAATGTATCTTGAGTTATAATAATTTTTGTATAGGGTGAAAAATGGAGATCCTGGACTTCAATCTTCTGCATATAGCTCTTAGTTATCCCAGCACCATATATTGACTAGGGAGATTTTTCCCTATTGTTTGTTATTGTCAATATTGTTGCAGATCAGCTGGTTGCAGGTGTATGGCTTTACTTCTGGGTTCTCTATCCTGTTCTATTGGTCTATGTGTTTATTTTGTACCAGTACCATACTGCTTTGAATACTGTAGCCTGGGGTAGTGTGATGCCTCCAGGTTTGTTCTTTGCTTAGGATTGCTTTGGCCCTTTTGATTCCATGTGAATTATAGAATAGTTTTCTTTAATTCTGTGAAAAATGACATTGGTAATTTGATAGGAATAGCATTAAATCTATAAATTGCTTTGGGCAGTCTGGCCATTTTAACAATACTGATTCTTCCTGGCCTTGAGCATGAAACGTTTTTCTATTTGTTTGTGTCATCTCTAATTTCTTTCAACAGTGTTTTGTAATCCTCATTTTAGAGATCTTTCATCTCCTTGGTAAGCTATAGTCCTAGATATTTTATTTTTGTGGCTGTTGCAAATGGCATTGCATTCTTGATTGGGCTTTCAACTTGAATATTGTTGGTGTATGGAAATGCTACTGACTTTTGTGCATTGGCATTATATCCTGAAACTTTACTGAAGTCATTTATCAATTTTAGAAGCCTTCTGGCAGAGCCTCTGGGGCTTTTTAGGTATAGAATCATATTGCCTGCAAAGAAAAATAGTTTGACTTGTTCTCTTTTTATCTGGATGCTTTTTTTTTTTCTTTCTCTTGCCTGATTGCTTTGGCTAGGACTTCCAGTACTATGTTGAATAGAAAGGCTGTGAGTGGACATGCTTATCGTGTTACAGTTCTCAAGGGGGAATGGTTCCAGCTTTTGTTCATTTAGAATGATGTTGGCCGTGGATTTGTCATATAGAGCTCTTATTATTTTGCGGTATGGTCCTTTGATGTCTAACTTGTAGAGGATTTTTAACATGAAGGGATGTTGCATTTTTTTGAAAAGGCTTTTCTCCATCTATTGAAATAATCACCAGGATATGACATTCTGGATATCAGCCTTAGCAAAGAGTTTATGACTATGTCCCCAAAATCAATTGCAATGAAAACAAAAGTTGACAAGTTGAATCTAATTAGACTACAGAGGTTCTGCACAGGAAAATAAGCTATTGACAAAGTAAACAGACAACCTACAGAATGGGAGATAATATTCCCAAACTATGCATCAGATGAAGTTCTAATATTTAGAATCTATAAAACACTTAAGCTATTGCATAAAGAATAAATAACCTTATTAAAAATGGGCAAATTACATGAACAGATACTTCTTAAAAGAAGACATACATGTGCCCAATAAATATATGAAAAAATGCTATCATCACAAATCATTAGACAAATGCAAATTCAAACCACAAGGAGATACCATCTCACAACAGTCAGTATGGCTATTACTAAAAAAGTCAAAGAAAATACTGCAGGAAAAAGATAGGTATAAAAAAATTTAAAAAAAATTAACAAAGGTCAAAGTACAATAGATGCTGGCAAGGTTGCATAGAAAAGGTGACACTTATACACTGCTAGTGGGATGTAAACCAATTCAGCCACTGTAGAAAGCAACTTAAAACACAACTACCATTTGATCCAGCAATTTAACTACTTGGTATTTACCCCAAAGCACAAGAAATATTCTACCAAAAAGACACATGCACTCATATGTTCATTGCAGCACTATTCACAATAGCAAAGACATGGAACCAATCAAGATGCCCATCAGTGGTGGACTGGATAAAGAAAATGTGATACATAAACCATGGAATACTATGCAGCCACAGAAAAGAACAAAATGATGTCCTTTGCAGCAACATGAATGCTAGAGGCCATTATCCTAAGCAAACTAATGCAGAAATGGAAAACCAAGTATCACATATTATTACTTACAAGTGGGAGGTAAACACTGAATACACATGGACAAAAAGTGGAAACAATAAATACTGGGGACTGCTTTAGTGGGGAGAGAGCTAGAGTGGTGTACTGTGCTCATGACCTGGGTGATGGTATCATTTATACACCAAGCCTCAGTGGCACACAATTTGCCCATTTAACAAACATGCACATTATATTAGTCTGTTCTCACACTGCTAATAAAGACATACCCAAGACTGAGTAATTTATAAAGGAAAGAGGTTTAACTGATTCACAGTTCAGCATGGCTGGGGAGGCCTCAGGAAACCTACAATCATGGTGGAAGGGGAAGCAAACACATCTTTCTTCACATGGTGGCAGCAAGGAGAAGTGCAGAGCAAATCGGGGGAAAGCCCCATATAAAATCGTCAGATCTCATGATAAGTCACTCACTATCATGAGAACAACATAGAGGTAACCACCCCCATAATTCAATGACCTTCACCTGGTTCCTCCCACAACACATGGGGATTATGGGAACTACAACGCAAGATGAGATTTCGGTGGTGACACAGCCAAACTATATCACACATGTACCCCTAGAACCTAAAATAAAAGTAGATGAAGAAAAAACAATTCCCTCCATTTTCTAATAAAATTTCTCAGAAACCACCCAATCTTTATAAAATTTAACTTGAACATATCTAAACTCTTACTCACCTGTAGTATTCCTTCTCTAATTATTACATGATTTGAAATTAAACCCTTTACTTTCATCTACCTTTCTTTAAAATATGCAAGTTACTTTATACACTGCCTTTTTAGTACATCAAAATGTTTTGTTGTTATTGGTGCAAAACTTCAACACAAGATAATACTGCATACCATTTTCTATCAGATTTGTTGGTTAAAATTATTGTAATCAAGATATCACAATATGTAAATTACCCACTATTTAATGGTATAAGTATATAACTGTTAATTATTTATATTGGATTATTGGATTTATATTGGATAACATACAGAAATTATTATATTTCTGTATGTTAGAAATCCAACCAGGAATATACAACATTTCAGCAACAATATTAAGAATAATAAGGCTGGGTGCAGTGGCTCACGCTTGTAATCCCAGCACTTCGAGAGGCTGAGGCGGGTGGATCATGAGGTTAGGAGTTCGAGATCAGCCTGGCCAACATAGTGAAACCCTGTCTCTACCAAAAATAAAAAAAAAATTAGCCAGGTGTGGTGGTGAGCACCTGTAATCCTAGCTACTTGGGAGGCTGAGGCAAGAGAATTGCCTGAGCCCAGTAGGTGGAGGTTGTGGTGAGTCGAGATTGCGCCATTGCACTCCAGCCCAGGAGACAGTGTGAGACTCTGTCTCAAAATAATAATAATAATAATAATAATAATAATAAGAAGAAGAAGAAGAAGAAGAAGAAGAAGAAGAAAACTCTTCTAATTGATTCATCAAAAACTGGCTTTACAAAATGAGAATACAAAATTGTAACTATTTTCAAAAACACCTTATCTGTCAAAACATGTTTTGATTTTCTAGAGTGTATACAATTATTATTTCAATTGTAGTTGCAATGTATTTGGATTCTCTAGAAGCCTAATGTAATATTTGTGGTTTTTCAGAATAATCATTAGTGCTTTCAAAACCATTAAATGTCAACCCAGATGATATACACTGTGGAATCTGTATTGGGAAATCTAAAAGGAAGGACTGGACAGGATAAGGTTTGTAATGTCTCCCATTTCTAAAGCTTCCTCTAGGGCATTTTGGCCCATAGCTTCTTATGGCTCCAGCCATTTCTTAATGCACTGGTGGCCAAGCTGCCTAACGTGATTTTGCTACCATAATCACAGCCACTTGGATCAAAGGAGACGCCAGTCTCAAGGAATGATAATCCGTATGTTGAATGGAGAACTTTATAAAATGTATTAATGTATTTAAAAACTGTAAAAAGAGTAGATTTTAAATGGTCTCCCCACAAACATTAAGTAGGTGAGGTGAGAGTTTAATTAGATTATTAATTAGATTAATTAGCTTGATTTAATCATTTTGCATTGTGTGTGTGTGTATATATATAAACATCATATTGTACTGCATAAATATATACAATTATTATTTTTCAGTTAAAAAATTTAAAAAAAGCCTTAATAATGACTGTTTTAGCTGACAGGGAAGAGATAACTAAATTAAAACTGTAATATTCTTTCAGTTGAGAACTTGAAATCCTTAAGTTATACAAAGCCAGTGTTTACTAGTAGCTGTCTAAGCTGAAAGAAACAGGAAAAAAAGAGTATCAAAGGCAATATGGAGAAAAACAACAAAATTGATGATACTAATGCCTCTACCATTGCTACTACTAATAACAGTGAGTAGAAATAACTGGTGAATAACAACAGACATGTAGAGGGAGCAGGTAATTACTGAAATGAAGAAGTAGTTCTTACTGCTGATTTCTTATCAGGACCATATCATCATAAGGTATCCTGGTTCCTAGAGCAAACTTAGACCCTGAATGACTTCTTGGTCTCTATCATTCTAATTTACAAGGGCCATGACTATATTGCAGTTCTGAATTCTATTTGGGTGGTCCGGATTTTCACAGGACTGGTTATAACAAGATTCACTTTTTTCTTATTTCCTTGTATCTTTTCAACCAACTCCCTTTTTCTAATATAAATAAATTGATGTCTAAAAAGCCATAATACATAATTCAGTTAATCTAAGAGGGAGAATTAACATGATTTTAAGTATTTCTTTTTTGGCCTTTAAAATATATAAATATAGATATCTGGTTTATTCATGATCATTGTTAAGTAGTATTTATTTGTTTGGACAGACCTATATTTTGTTATCCATTTTTGTGTTAATAATCTAATCCTTCACCTTATATTTCTTTTAAAATAATCCTGCTATGAACAAGAATACTTTAGTATATGCCTCAGAGTGATTATGAGGAAGATTATTTTAAGAATATAAGCACTGAAGTACGGAAATGCTGAATCATGGGTTTTGTACATTCTTAACTTAGATGTTGCTTTCCAAAGTGGTTGCATTAAGGTACATTCCTCCTCCATATCCAGCAGTACATAAAACTTCCCTTCCTCTGTATCCTTCTAATTTTCACACTTTCAATTGTTTATTGATATAAGAGATGTGAAATACTATGTGGATTTAATTTCCATCCTTGATTATTAGAGAAGTTGAGAGTCTATTACCCGTCTATGTTTCTTCATTTGTGAGTTGGCTTTTTCATTCAGTAGGCTTATTTTTTCGTCAGAGTACTTTTCCCAATAAAGGATTGCTTCAATTTAGTTTTTAAATTTGAGGGTAATGTGTTGGGCCATACTGTTAGTAAAAAGTTGAACTTTATACCTATGTATATTCAAGTCTACATTTAGAAAATTTTTAGGAAGCTGTCTTTATCTCCCATTCAGAGTCTAGTCTGAGACAGGCAAGTTTTCACCATCTCTGTTTATTGGAAGGTGGACTTCTCTTAGTTCACCTTAGTAAACCCTGAGGGTCCTAGCTTGTGTAAGGCATCCAAGTTCCAACCACCCAACTTGTGTGCTTGGGGACTTATCTCCTTTCCCTGACATGTCCTTATTGTTAAAACAATAACCTTATCGCTTTAACAGGTCACAGAATTTGGCAAATGCCTGAATGCTGTTTTAACTTTAGTACCAGCTTACTACTGTGATGTGCTGTGTGGCTGCTCATGTAAGAAATACAACCCCCCGAAAAAGAAGGAAAAGGGAAAAGAAGGGAAAGGGAAAAGAAGAAAAAGAAAAAACAAATTGGGGGCCCTGGTTATGTAGGTGAAGCCTGACAAAAACAAACAAACAAACAAAAAGATAGTAAAACACCTACAAAAAGAACTCTGCCAAAATGAAGACTTTGCTGTTTGGCATTACCACCCATGCTGTCTTTCTTAATGTCTTCCAAAAATTTTGCCTAGTCTACTGAGAAAACCTTCTTAATTTTGACTGGGATGCAAAAACTGGCTTATGTGTATTCTGCACATGTGTTGACGATGAATTCCCTACAATTGTAAGTGAAAATCTGTAATTAAGTCTCTGTTGTTGCTATCTGATTTCATCCCACGTTTCCTATCTGGCATTTTAAAAACACAGGCCTCTAGGATTCCATGTGGAATGCTGTATCGTCCCTGACTGCAGCCCCTGTGTAAGCTTCCATGTCCTCTGCTTTTCTTTAACAGTTACCATTGCCCTAATCTCTTCAAGTTTTCAGAAATTTTTTGAAAGACCTTTTATACCAATGCTTGCTCAACCTTCTTATTCTCCTCATTTTTTTTTCTATCAATTAAATGGAGGTTTTAGGGAAAGAATGTAGGTATATCCATGTGCTATGATCAGCATCTTAAATAAAAGTTTCTGTTAACTAGCTGTGTACAAGTTGTTGGCTTTTTTATTTTTATTTTTTCAAAAACATGGTATTGCTCTGTTGCCCAGGCTGTAGTGCAATGGCACAATCTTAGTTCACTGCAGCCTCCAACTCCCAGGTCCAAGCGATCTTGCCACTTCAACCTTCCTCCCAAGTAGCTGGAACTACAGGCACCCATCACCACACCCAGATAAATTTTTATTTTTTATTTTTTAGAGATGGGGTTGCCCTATATTGCCCAGGGTGGTCTTGAACTCCTGGCCTCAAATAATCCTCCTGCTTGGGCCTCCCAAAGTGCTAAGATTACAGGCATGAGTCACCACACCCAGTTTGTTCACAAGTCTTAATATGTTCTTAGAGTTAGAAGGCAATGTCAATAAATCAGTGATCCAGGTGTATAATCAGTCAATTAGAAAGTTAATTTCTCTTCTAGATGGATATCTACTTTTTACATTTATGTAGGAATGCAGACCTGGAATAATCAGATTTTAATTTTTAGAAATATAACTGCCATCAGAATTTTACATCAGATCTCCCACCTTATTAGTGTTGTCATATTATTCGACTTTACTTTTGTTGTCGTTGTGCAAGGTGAACAAAATATTTCTGCAGAAAGTCTCCAGAGTGCATGATACTAGTTCATGATCTCTGTTTTAGATAAGTGTTTCATATAATTATTAAAAAATCTTCAGAATTCATTATTGTTCTCCACATTTATAGACAAACTGAGGGGCTTCAATAAGGTTAATGAGTTTTCCAGATGCACCAGAGAGGGACTTGAAACATCTTTTAGGTCCAAATTATCTCACTAAATGGAAATGTTGTCCTATATATTCTTTGAAAATGCTGTGTATGTTTCTAAAACATATGTTGATTTGGGGGAGTTTAAAGATTATCTCCAGATCGTCAAATAACTTGAACGCAGAGCCAGTGCTAACTGCTTTCAGTGTTAACCTCCTCATTTTTCAGGGTCTTGAAATTTGATTTCAGTTCTACCAACTCTACTCAAAAAAAGGCTAAGAGTAATATTTTAGGGAGCATTTTATTTTTATATGCAGCATATGAAAATTATTCTCATTAAACATTTCATGAACATGCTAATAATGAATGCGCTGTTTGCCAAGTGAAATTGTGTTAGTGTATGTGTCACCTATTCCTACACGTGGGGTTTTAATGTGTTATGCTCAACAAATCAAGAACAATTTGAAATGCTTAATTGCAAATATTCTTTATTATTTTAAAGAGATATGGATTGTTAGCAAAATTTTTGCTGCTAATTTTCTACGATATTAAATACTTTGTTTAATGATTGTGTAAATGTAAAACCATGTTTCTATTTTTTATAAAACCAATTTGAATTCTGGATGAATAAATAGTGCATTATAACTCATTTCTTTTATATTTCAATCAGTTCAAATAATTATTTGACCAAAAGTTAGAAATTAGTTTATTCAATTAATATCAAATATTTCTATATATGTTTGTTTGTATTGTGTATACATACATACAGTTATGCACATATATATAATTAGAAATATATCAATTTTTCTTACAAAAAAATGTTATAGAAAATCAATCTATGAAAGCTAGATCAACTGTCTCTAGGATTACTGCCCAAGTGTCCCAACTAATCTTTCTAGTCCAATATTACTTTTCTTCCACTTATATTCCTGTTCCATACAGCAGAGTTTTAAAAAACATAACTCATATCTTGGCACTCCTCTACTTGCCACCTTCCAATAGCTTTCCATCAAACTAAGCATGAAAGTACAAAGCCTGCACTGGCCTGCCTGGCCCTACATAAATCTTTCTTTTACCTTCTTTTCCAACTCATCTTTTAGTAATTTCCCTTTCCTCATGACATTCCCACCACCGTGACAATAATGCCATCATCCAAAAACCTACCTTAGAGTTTCAGCATTTGCTGTTCTCTCTAACTTAAATTTTTGCCACAAGGCCTGGTTACCTTCTCAAACAAAGCACCCTGTTTTATTTTTACCCTAATACATTACAGGTTTTAAAAAAATATATGCTGACTCTTCATCTCTATTTTTTTATTTTTATGAAATTATAGCATACTAAAGAAAGGCACACAAATCATAGTGCAGAGCTCAATTTACAAAGTGAATACATCCATCTAACCACCACCTAGATCAAGATAAGTGGACATTACCAGCACTCCAGAAATGCCGCTCATTCTCTCTCCCAGTCTGTTCCTCCTAAAAACAGCCACTGCCTCACTTTTATCTCCATAGATTATATTTTCCTATTTTAACTTCAGATCAATGAAAGCTGTAGTTTAGTGCCTGACATTTAAAATTTATGAGTTAAAAATATAATATGAAATCTACCTGCACAAATTTTTTAGTGTACAGTATAGAATTGTTGACAATATGCACACTGTGGTACAGCAGATCTCTAGAGCTTTTTTGTTTTGCATGATTGAAGGTCTATTCCAATTGCAATTCCTTATTTCCTCTCCTCTACCTCTTGGCAATCAGCATTCTACTTTCTGCATCTAAGGCTTAAACTATTTTAGATATTTTATAAACTAGGAATCATGCAGTATTTGTCCTTTTGTGACTGGCCTATTTCACAGAACAAATTATCCTCAGGGTTCATTCACATTGCCACATGTGCCAGGACTTCCTTCATGTTTAAGACTGAATCATATTCCATTGTGTATGTATTCCACATTTTAAAAAATCCATTTATATGTGGGATGTACATTTAGGCTATTTCTACCTCTTGCTCATTGTGAATAAGGCTGCAATGAACATAGGAATGTAAAATATCAATTCAAGATCCTGATTTCCATTATTTTTAATAAATGCATAAGAGTGGAATTGCTGGACCATATGGTCATTCTATTTTTAATATTTTTGTGAAACCTCCATGCTGTCTTCCATGGTTGCTGCACCATTTTAGATGCCCATCACAGTATACAAGGATCCAAATTTCTCCACATTCTTATCAACACATTGTTCATTTGGGTGGGGAGGGCAGTTGTGTTTTTTTGTTTCTTATAATGAGCATCCTAACAGGCGCAAGGTGATAGCTCATTTTGGTTTTGATTTGCATTTCCCCGATTATTTGTGATATTGAGCTTCTTTTCAAATACCTGTGGACCATTTGTATGTCTTCTTTGGAGAAATGTCTTTTCAAGTCCTTTGCCCTTTTATTAATTGGGGTATTTTTTTCAATTGTTGTTTTTGAGTTGCAGGAATTCCTTATAATTTTTGAATTCTGATGTCTTGACAGATATATGATTTGCAAATATTTTCTCCTCTTCCATGGCTTGCCCTTTCACACTGTTGATTGTACCTTTGCTGTGCAGTTGTGTCTTTGTTTTGTTTTGTTTTGTTTTATGGTTGATGTAGTCTCACTTGTCTATTTTTGCTTTTGTGGCCTAGGCTTTGGGGTCATATCCAAAAAACTTATGCAAGACCAATATTGAGGAGATTTTCCCCTTTGTTTTCTTCTTGTATTTTACAGTTTCAGGCCTTTTATTTTTAATTTTTTTGGACAAATGGGATCACATCAAGTTGAAAAGCTTCTGAACAGCAAAGGATACAATCAAGAAAGTGAAGAGACAACCCACAGAATGGGATAAAATATTTGCAAAGTACCCATCTGACAAGGGATTAATAACCAGAATATATAAGGAGTTCAAAACAACTCCATAGAAAAAAATAATACAATAAAAAATGGGCAAAAGATTTGAATAGACCTTTCTCAAAAGATGACATACAAATGGCAAAGAGGCATATGAAATGGTGCTCAGTATCATTTAATCATCGGAGAAATGCAAATCAAAACTACAATGAGATATTTTCTAACACCAGCTAAAATGGCTTATATCCAAAAGACAAACAATAACAAATGCTGGTGAGGATGTGGAGGAAAGGGAACCATCAGATACTGCTGGTGGGAATATAAATCAATTTCAGGTCTTAATTCAAGTCTTTAATTTATTTTCAGTTTATTTTTGTCTGTGGTATAAGGATCCTAGTTCACATTTTTCCTTGTAGATATCCAGTTTTTTTTAACATCATTTGTTAAAGAAAGCATGGTTTTCTCCTTATGTATTCCTGGTACCTTAGTTGAAGATCAGTTAGCCATACATGCATGAGCTTATTTCTGGGCTCTATTCTGTGCATTGACCTATATGTTGCTTTTTATGCCAGTACCATATTGTTTTGTAATGTCATTTGAAGATAGGAAGTGTGAGGCCTCCAGGTTTGTTCTTTTTGTTCAAGGCTACTTTACCTATTGTGTCTTTTGTGGTTCCACACAAATTTTAGAATTTTTTTCTACTTCTGTGGAAAATGCCATTGAACTTTTCATAGCGATTGCATTAAATCTGAAGATCACTTTGAGCAGCACGAACATTTTAACAATATTGATTCTTTTGATTCATGAACTTAGGATAGCTTTTGATTAACTTCTGACTTTTTTAGTTTCTTTCATCAATATTTTGCAGTTTTAGGGTACAAGCCTTTTACCTCCTTGGTTAAATTTATTCCTAAGTATTTTATAATTTTTGATGCTATTATAAATGGAATTGTTGTCTTAATTTATTTTTCAGATAGAGTGTTGTTAGTGTATAGAAATGCACCTGATTTTTTATGTTAATTTTTAAATATACAACTTTACTGAGTTCATTTATTAGTTCTAACAGTTTTTTGATGGAGTCTTTAGAGTTTTCTATATATATGATCATTACATCTGTAGAGACAATTTAAATATTCCATTTCAACCTGGGAGTCTTTTATTTCCATTTCTGCATAATTGCTCTGACCAAGACTTCCAGTAATATGTTGAATAAAAGTGCTGAGAATGGACATCCTTATCTTGCTCCTGAGCTTAGAAGAAAAGCTTTCAACTTTTCATCATTGAATTTGGTGTTAGCTGTGTGCTTGACATATATGGCCTTGTTATGTTGTGATACATTTCTTCTATACTTAATTTTTAAAAATGGTTTTTGTTATGAAAAGATGTTGAATTTTGTCAAATGCTTTTCCAGCTTCTATTGAGATGATCATATGATTTTTATCATTCATTCTGTTAATATGGTAAATCACATTTATTTATTTTTTGGGGTATGTTCAAACACCCTTTCATTTAGGGATAAATCACACTTGGTCATAAAATAGGATCCTTTTAATATGCTACTGCTACTGAATTTGTCTTATTTATATATATCCATCAGAGATATTGGCCTACTGTGTTTTTTGTTATAGTCTTAGTCATTGTTTGGCATTAGGGTAATGCTGGCCTCAATGAGTTTGGAAGTGTTTCCTACTCATCAATTTTTTTAAAGATTTTGAGAAGACTAGGCATTAATTCTTCATTAAATACTTGGTAGAATTTTCCAGTGAACCCATCTAGTCCTGGATTTTTCTTTGTTGGAAAGTTTATTATTACCTTCAAAGGTAAAGATTCAATCATTTTACTCGTTATTGGTATTTTTGGACTTTCTATTTCTTCATGATTCAGTCTTGCTAGGTTTTTATATTTCTAGGAATATAACCATTTTAGTTCAGAATTATCTTTTATGATCCAATTTATTGCTGGGTCACAAGTTGTAATGTCCCCCTTTTCATATGTGATTTTATCCATTTGAATCTTTTCTCTTTTTTTTTCTTCATATAGATAAATGTCTGTTAGTTTTGTTGATCTTTTCAAAAAACCTACCTTTAGCTTGGTTGATTCTTTAAAATTGTAATTTCTATTTCACTGCTTTTAATTCTAATCTTCATTATTCTCATCCTTCTGCTAGCTTTGGACATAGTTTGTCTTCTCCTTCTTTGTTTGAGGTGCAAATTTCTATCATACGAGATCTTTCTTCTTTTTTAAGTAGGCATTTATCACTATGAGCTTACCTCAATAACGACTTTGTTGCATCCCATAGGTTTGGGTAGGTTGTGTTTCCATTTTCTTTCTCTCAAGATTATCTTCGAATTTCCCTTTTGATATCTTTTTTAATTATTTTATTTTATTTTCATTTTTGTGGGTACTCAGTAGGTGTGTATATTTATGGTGTGTTAGCCCATTTTCCTGCTGCTGATAAGGACATTCCTGAGACTGGGAAAAAAAAAAAGAGGTTTAGTTGGATCTGCAGTTCCACATGGCTGGGGAAGCCTCAGAATCATGGTGGGAGGTGAAAGGTACTTCTTACAAGTACCCTGATAAACCCATCAGATCTCATGAGACTTATTAACTATCACAAGAATAGCACAGGAAAGACTGGCCCCCCATTATTCAATTACCTCCCCCTGGTTTCCTCTCACAACACCTGGGAATTCTGGGAGATACAATTCAAGCAAAGATTTGGGTGGGGACACAGCCAAACCATATCATTGTGTGGCTGCCCCGTCCAAATCTCATGTCCTCCCATTTCAAAATCAATTATGCCTTCTTAGCAGACTCCCAAAGCCTTAACTCATTTCAGCATTAACTCAAAAGTCCCCAGTCGGAAGTCTCATCTGAGACAAGGCAAGTCCCTTCTGCCTATGAGCCTGTAAAATCAAAAGCAAGCTAGTTACTTCCTAGATACAATGAAAGTATAGGTATTGGGTAAGTACAGCCATTCTAAATGGGAGAAATTGGCCAAAACAAAGGGGTTACAGGGTCCATGCAAGTCTGAAATCCCGTGGAGCAGTAACATTTTAAAGCTCCAAAATGATCTCCTTTGACTCGAAGTCTCACATCCAGGTCACACTGATGCAAGAGGTGGGTTCCCATGGTCTTGGGCACCTCCACCCCTGTGGCTTTGCAGGGTACAGCCTCCCTCCTGGCTGCTTTCAGGGTATGGCATTGAGTGTCTGTGGCTTTTCCAGGTTCACAGTGGAATCTGTCAGTGGATCTACCATTCTGGTGTCTGGAGGACAGTGGCCCTCTTATCACAGGTTCATTAGACTGTGCCCCAATAAGGACTCTGTGGGAGGTCCGATCCCACATTTCTCTTCTACATTGGCTTCGTAGAGGTTTTCCATGAGGGCCTGTCCCTGTGAAAAGTTTTGCCTGGTTATCCAGGTGTTTCCATACATCTTCTGAAATCTAGGCAGAGGTTGCTGAACCTCAATTCTCGACTTCTGTGCACCCAAGGCTCAACACCACATGGAAGCTGCTGAGGTTTGGGGCTTCCACCCTCTGAAGCCACTACCTGAGCTGTACATTGGCTCCTTTCAGCCACAGCTGGAGTGGCTAGAATACAGGGCACCAAGTCCCTAGGCTGCACACAGTGCAGGGACCTGGGTCCTGGCCCGTTAAACCACTTTTTCCTCCTGGGTCTCTGAGCCTGTGATGGGAGGTGCTGCCCTTGAAGGTCTCTGACATGGCCTGGAGGCATTTACTCCATGGTCTTGGGGATGAATATTAGGCTCCTTGCTACTCATGCAAAGTTCTGCACCCAGCTTGAACTTCTCCCCAGAAAATAGGTTTTTCTTTTCTATCACATAGTCAGGCTGCAAATCTTCCAAACTTTTATACCCCAAATTATCTCTCTCAAGTTCAAAGTTTCACAAATCTCTAGAGCAGAGGCAAAATGCTTCCAGTCTCTTTGCTAAAACATAACCAGAGTTACTTTGTTCCAGCTCCCAACAAGTTCCTTATCTCCATCTGAACCACCTCAGCCTGGACCTTATTGTCCATATCGCTATCAGCATTTTGGGCAAAGCCATTCAACAAGTCTCCAGGAAGTTCCAAAATTTCCCACATTTTCCTGTCTTCCTCTGAGTCCTCCAAACTGTTCCAATCTCTGCCTGTTACCCAGTTCCAAAGTCACTTCCACATTTTTGGTTATCTTTTCAGCAGCACCCCACTCCTGTTACCAATTTACTGTATTAGTCCATTTTTGGACGAATACAGTAACAGGACTAATACAGTAACAGCAGACTAACTGCTGATAAAGACATACCCAAGACTGGGGGAAAAAAAAGATGTTTAAATGGACTTACAGTTGCACGTGACTGGGGAAGCCTCAGAATCATGGTGGGAGGTGAAAGACACTTCTTACATGGTGGCAGCAAGAGAAAATGAGGAAGAAGCAAAAGGAGAAATACCTGATAAACCCATCTTAGTAACCATCACAAGACTTATTAACCATCACGAGAATAGCAAGGAAAAGACCAGCCCCCATGATTTAATTACCTCTCCCTGGTTCCCTCCCATAACACATGGGAATTCTGGGAGATACAATTCAAATTGAGATTTGGGTGGGGGTACAGCCAAACCATATCCTATGAGGTACAAGATGTTTTGATACAGGTATGCAATGTGAAATAAGTACACCATGGAGAAAATGGAATATCCATTCCCTCAAGCATTCATCCTGAGTTACAAACAATCCAGTTATACAACTTACAATTCAAAATTTACAATTAAGTTATTATTGACTATAGCTCCCCTGTTGCACTATCAAATAATAGGTCTTATTCATTTTTTCCAACTATATTTTCAACCCATTAATCATTCACACATCTGCCACAGCCCCCACTACCTTTCCCAGCCTCTAATAATCATTTTTTTGCTCTATGTTTATATAAGTTCAATTGATTTCTTCTTTGATTATTGGGATGCACTCAGGATGGTGGCAGAAGTATTAAAGGGAAATATTAGGGAAAGTTATAGGAAATAGTCACAAACCTTTTGGAAAGCTGAAAGGTTACATAGCTTGTAATAATTGAACAGGCTGAAGGCAGCTGGTTCTTAACTTAGAGCATTAGGTCATAGGGTAAATACTAGGGACAACAGAGGCTTCCCCAGTTAAGTCTGTTTACCCTACCTCCATTAACTAACCTTTGAGCCAGATGGTCCTCTCGGTGGGGAGGTCGACTAGAGATATTGCCCCCTAATGGTATTTACTTTAGACTGGGGTATCTGAGCTTTAATCATTCATAGAACTGCTCTCTTAACCATGTTAATTATCCTCAAGTGTGTTTACTCAAAGCTTCTGTTGTTAATTCTGTTCTAAATAAATGCCTGGAGTGTGAGCTGCTCAGGGCTGGCTGGAGTGACAAATCTTTCTTGGTGTGCAGGTAGTCGGACACTCAGCTGGATTGGCAAAGCAGAATATTTGTGTGTCAGTGTACGTTTTATTCATCCATCATTTGGGTCAGGGTCTGCGAGAAGACCCCCGCAGCTAAGGCCCTCTTGTGAGGAGCAATACCTCCATTGGTGCCCCATGTGAGGAGCCATACCACAATTTTTGACCCATTGATTGTTCAAGAATATGTTGTTTAATTTTCACATAATTCTGAATCTTCTAGTTTTCCTTCTGCTATTGATTTCTAGTTTCATTCCATTGTTATAAGGAAAGATAGTTTGTATGATTATGATCTTCTTAAATTTCTTCAGACTTGTTTTGTGGTCATACATGTGATCTATCCTGGTGTATTAGTTAGGGGTCTCTATCGGGGCAGAACTAATAGACTAGAAGTATATATAAAGGGGAATTTATTAGGAGAATTGACTCACAATATCACAAGGTGAAGTTCCATAAGAGGCCATCTGCAAGCTGAGGAGCAAGGAAGCCAGCCCGAGTCCCAAAACCTCAAAAGTAGGGAAGCCAACAATGCAGACTTTGGTCTGTGGTAGAAGGCCCAGTAGCCCCTGGCGAATCACTGGTGTAAGTCTAAGAGTACAAAAGTGGAAGAACTTAGAGTCTGATATTTGAGGGCAGGAAGCATCCAGCTTGGGAGAAAGATGGAGACTGGAAAACTCAGAAAATCAAGTCCTTCCAACTTCTACCTGCTCTATTCTAAACATAGTGGCAGCTGATTAGATGGTGTTCACCCAGATTGAGGGTGGGTCTGCCTCTCCCAGTCCACTGATTCAAATGTTAATCTCCTTTGGCAACACCCTCACAGACACACCCAGGAACAATACTTTATATTCTTCAATACAGTAAAGTTGACAATAATTAGCATCACACCCGCAGAATGTGTAGTATATTGCTGTTAGGTGAAATATTCTGAGTATTTCTGTTAGGTATTAGGAGTATAGTATAGTATAGTATAGTATAGTATAGTATAGTATAGTATCCTCTGTTTCCTTATTGACCTTTTGCCTAGATGTTCTAACCATTAACAAAAGTGGTATTTTGAAATTGACAACTATTACTGCATTGCTATTTCTCCATTCAGTTCTATCAATGTTTGCTTTATATATTTGGGTATACATAATGTTGGGTGCATATGTAGTTATTATATCTTCCTGATAAATTATCATAATATAATATCCTTGTTTCTTATGGCAATTTTTGACTTAAACTATATTATGTCTGATATAAGTATGGCTGATCTTCTTATTTGGTTGCCATCTGCATGGAATATCATTTTTCATAATTTTAGCCTGTTTTCTTAAATTATGGTGAATCTCTCATAGACAACATATAGTTGGATCTTTTTTAAAATCCATTAGTCATTCAGCTACTCTATCATGGTTGGGGGTTTAATCATTTACATTTAAAATAATTATTGCTAGGGAAAGGCTTACTATTACCATTTTGGTGTTTTCTGTCTGTCGTGTAGATTCTTGTCTCTTTTTTTCTGTCTTGTCTTCCTTTGTGTTTATTGATTTTTCTTTTAGTAGCATACAATGACTCCTTTCTCATTTTCTTTAATGTATTATCTAAAGATTATTTTATGGTTACAATGGGGCTTACATAAGATGTAACAATATGTTTTAAGCTGATAACAACTTAATTTCAATTTCATACAAAATCTACTCTTTTATCTCTCCTTCCCACACTTTGTATTATTGATGTCACAAATTACATCTTCTATATTAACATTCATTAAAATATTTTTCATTATAATTATGTTTCTACTTTTGTCTTTTAACTCCTATATCACAATTCAAAGTGGCTTATGCACCACCACTGCAATGTTATCTTATTCTTTATTTGTCTATATGTTTTCCTTTTCCAGCAAGCTTCATACTTTTATATGTATTTGTATTTCTGCCTGGTGTCCTTTTGTTTCAACTTAAAAGACTTTCTTTAGCATTTTTATATAGGTGGTCCAGTGGTGATAAATTCCCTCAGGTTTGGTTTATCTGGGAAAGTGTTTATCTCTCCGTTTTTGAAAAGCAGCTTTATTGCATAATTGTATTCTTAATTGTCAATTTTTTCATTTAGCACTGTGAGTACATCTTTTTCACTCCCTCTGGCCTGCAAAGTTTCTGCTGAGAAATTCTCTGATGGTCTTATGAGGGCTCCCTTTTACATGATGAGTCATATTTCTCTTGCTGCTTTCAGCAAGAGAAATTCTCTTTTTCTGCATAATTTGATTATAATATATTTTCATGGAAACTACTTTAGGTTCATACTAGTTGGAGTCCATGGGGCTGCTTACATTTGATATATGCTTCTTTTTCCAGATTTAGTTTTCAGCCATTGCTTCTTCAAATAAGCTTTTTGTACTTTTCTCTCTCCTCTGTCTAGGACTCTTATAATACATATATTGGCCCACTTGATGGTATTCCATAGATCTCTTAACTCTGGACTCTTTTTCATTTCTTTTTGTTTTTGCTCCTATGACTGGGAATTTCAAATGATCTGTCTTCACGTTTACATATTCCTTATTCTGCTTGACCAAGTCTGCTACTGAAACACTAGTACGTTTTTTACTTTAGTTATTGTGTTCTTCAGCTCCAAATTTTCATGATTTTTTTTAAGTTTTCTACCTCATATTCTTGATATTCTCATTTTGTTTGTGCATTGTTTTTCTGAACTGATTGAGCATCTTTATTATGATCAGTTTGAATTCTTTGTCAGGTAATTTTTTGCCAGATGAAACAGAATCATCTTCCTCAAGCACCCATCCCATTTCCATTTCTTTGGTGTCAGTTTCTGTAGATTCATTTCTTTTCTTTCATTGGGCCATGTTTTCTTTTTTCTTTGTGTGTCTTGTAAATAAGTATTTGAATACATGCATTTGAGAAAAAATGCCACCTCTACAAAATCTTTATGAGCTAATTCTGTAAAAGGAAGGAACTTCACCAATCAGCCTGTCTAGAGGTTCTAGGGGCCTCTCAAACTTTTTCTTGGGATGCATCTTCTCTGGGATTTTGCATGCAATTTCCCAATTAGATTTACCAATCTGATTTTTTGTTTTGTTTTGTTCCATGAGTTTCTTGTCTCTTGTTCCTTTGGTGTCTATATATAGTAAGACATGTTCTCTGGCATTGCCTCAAGCTGCTGAATTCCCTTTTGTCCTCTGTGATCTCTAGGTATTTAAGGTATACCTGTTTTGTCAGTCCTCTGAGTTAGGTGAGATAGAATATCATCACTCACTCACCCCTGCCCACAAAAATCCAGAACATTGGACACGCTTTCCAGTCTTCTCTTTCCCTCCCAAGGGAAAAGATATATGCTGGGTGCTACATCCCAATAGTGATGAGCTACACCCATTTGTTTGCAGTATTACAAATTTTCTGGCACTTACATAAGATATTGAGCTCTCTTTCATTCTGGTAGGCCCACAGGCATTCAAAGTATGCTAGTTCCCTGACAGCACTCTGAGTCATGACAGATAGAAATCAATCCTTTGAGCAGCACCACAAAAAATACAGAACGTTAGTTGTATGTTCCCATCTTCTCTTTTCCTCCCAAGGGAGAAATTGTGAGCTGGGCTTTTCTTCCCAATAATAAGCTATGTGAGTGTGGGTAAGGGGTTAATGCAGTTGAAATGAAATGCTTTTCTTATCCAAATTAATACAGTTATTTTGGGCTTTGAGCATGTTTGGTGTGCTGCTTGTTTCTTATTGATTTCTGAAGTTCTCACAAAGGCATTTAGACTATATAGTGTTGTCGAGTCATTGTTTCTGTGGGGCAATAAGGTCTCGGTCTTCTTATTTCACCGTCTTTCTGATATCCTCCCTGTGCCTGGCTCCATTTGTTAAGCATTTGTGTTTTGAGATTTATTCATTTATTGCATATAGCAGAAATTCTTTTCTACATCACTGAATTATATGCCATTGCGCAGTTTATAGATACTTGTGCCATTGATAGGTACTTGGGTTCTTTCCAGTTTTTGGATCTTATAAGTAATGATGATATGAACATTTTTCTGCATGTCTTTTAATATACTTGTATATTTATTTTTGTTGGGTGTTTACCTGGGAATTAAATTGCTGAATCACTGGGTGGACATATGTTTAATTTTAGTAAAGAATACCAAGAGTTTCCCAAAGTAGTCAAAAAATGTATATTAATTATTACCCACATTATGTAAGTTTTCTTACATACAAGCCAGCATTTCATTTTGTTATTGTTTTAGTTTTTCAAAATATTTTAATATATTTTCATTATTTAAAATTGATATGCAGAGGTATGTCATTAGAACTATAAAGTCATTTCTCTATGACTTGATGACCAGTGTTGGTAAGCAACTTTTCATATGCTTGTTGGCCATTTGATTATCTTTGTTTCTAAAAGAAAATCTTTAAATCTCTTGGCCATTTTTCTTTTAAGTTTCTGTTTCTTCTTTTTAATTTATTGGCATTCTTCATACATTCTAGATATAAATCCTTGGCACTTTGTTTCACTGTAGATATTGAATCATCTATATCTAACATCATAATAAAATAATTTAATGCTGGGCTTTAGGTTCTAATGGTAAATTGGATGAACAGTAGAATCAAACAAAGAGAAGCAAGAATTCAGAAAGTTCAAAGAAAAATTAGGGTGTTCTTTTGTAACAGAATATACTTCAAAATAGGTGATAGTTTCAAATGATGTAAATAAATTATTGGCTGGGTGCAGTGGCTCACACCTGTAATCTTAGCACTTTGGGAAGCTGAGGCAGGAGGATCACCTGAGGTCAGGAGTTCGAGACCAACCTGGCCAGCATGGTGAAACCCAGTCTCTACCAAAAGTATAAAAACTAGCCAGGCATGGTGGCACACGCCTGTAATCTCAGCTACTTGGGAGGATGAGGCAGGAGAATTGCTTGAACCTGGGAGTCAGAGGTAACAGTGAGCCGCGATCATGCCACTGAACTCTAGACTGGGCAACAGAGGGAGATTCCATCTAAAAAAAAAAGTTATTTCTTTATATAATATGTCTTAATTTTTATAAAATTAATTAAATTTGGGGCTAATATTTAATTGGTTTTTACTAAAGTTTGGCTTAGATCTTATTTCTGTTTATTAATATCACATTCTGCCCTTTGAGACATGCAAACTCAGCACTTTTTCTGTCTTCATGTTTCTTACTTACTATACTAATTATACCAGTGTAACATGACAATAACCAAAAGCTTTTCTTATCAATTTTATTAATGTAATCCTACACTAGTTATCTTTGAGGCTGTTTCTTTTATCAGTTTAAATTCATATCTTATGAAAGATAACACAGAATTATAAACTGTGAGCATGCAACTCTGCTTTTCATGTTCAATCTCTGAAGGGGTTACATGGATGATCCTGCCTTTGTTGTGCTAAATAATTTCTTAGAATCAATCTTTGCATATTTCATTCATGCAAACATACTGAGAAAACTTCTATTTAACCTCAGTTTCTCTGGACTTTGTAGAATCCAAAGTACTAAATGATCATTTAGGAGATATCTAAATAAAATCTAGATAAAATTTTATTTATTTTATATTTATCTAGATAAATAAAATTTATCTAGAGAGAGAAATCTAGATAAAATCTATTAAACGCATAGGAAGTACTTTAAATAATGTTTTTGCTATAGGAGTTCTTTGTAACTTCAAGATGTACTTATTAATTACAAATTAAGTAGAACTAATTTGGAAAAATGGAAATAATTTATCAGGAAAACTATGAATTTTTTCCAGAATTTTTTTTCTCAGAGAAGGAACATGCTAATACTATGTTTATGAAATTATTGATGATGTTGTAGGGCTGATTTTCATTTATCAAGAAGTATGATTTGTATAACATGAGACTGACTATTAACATAATGGGAATATAAAGGTCAAGAAGTAGCTCCTTTCATAACTCTAAATTTTCATAGGCAAAATATGGGTATGGAAGAATGAATGAATGATTCCTTATGCCCTCTAGTTAATCTATATACATTATATTATGAAACACAACTCACAGGGCTGCATCTAAATCGTATATTGGTGCACAGAATTGGAGTTTGGAAATTATAATATAGTAAATTTAAAATGTATTACTTTCTAATCATTATATTAGAAACAAATATAACTAGGTCACTACCACGTTTACATTGCTAGATTCTCCAAATATAGAAATAGAATAAAAACGCTGCTCCAGATGTATATTGTAAATATATCACTCCTCTTATAACAGTAGTAATATCTAAGATTTCACTATGTAACAGTGATATTGCCTCACCTCTTGATTATAGTTTGGGCTATAACTTGTTCACTCTTTCAATAAATGATACATTATGAACTTTGTCGTAGGTATAGAAAATTGTTTTTTCATTGCTTACAATGTAGTATAGTTTCCAGAATTCAAGAACAAATTTGGAATTAGCACTCTTATCTATGTTGTAGTGCTCTTTTAAATAAAACACCGTTCTTCCTTATGCCATTAAAAAATTAAATAAATTATTCATTTACTTTGGCTGGTGATATAAAGTTTTGGCAATTAATTTTGATTTCTTCAATATTGAATTACCACTAGCTAAACAAAATCATTAAATGCCATAATACTCATTTTGATTGGTTCAATTTAGCTTTTAAGTTTGATGGTTTTAACTTTGGTTATATTTCTTTAGCTTTGGACTGTTTATAGACTTTATCTTGATTAGGTAGCATATGTGAAATTCTTAGGCTTCATTCTGTGGTCACTGTGTTAGGTATAAAGCAATAAAAAGTGGTGCCAGAGAGCATGACACAGTTTATATAAATTTTAGTATTGCGTTGTTTTCCCTTGGTGAAATAGTGAGATATATTCTTGTGGGGTAGATACATGCACAAATGACTGCTGTAAATAAATGTCTAGTTAACTATTATTGTATATTCATATAGTGTACCAGATCCTTTACAAGGTTTACTAATTTAATCCACATAATAACTTTTTAAACAACTACTACTATTCTTTCCATTTTACAGATGAAAAAATTGATGTGTTGAGATATTAAATAACATGCCTCAGATCACACACCTAATAAATATTGGAACCAATATTTAAACTTGGTTTCTATGACTCAGAGCCAAATTTTTAAATCACAAAACTAATAACTTTATCTTTTGGATAACACTAAAGAAGGAATTTATTTATGAATATTAACTTCCAAGACAAATAACTAATTTGAGAATAACTATTCACATTAAAAAAAATTTGCTTAGCAGAAAAATCTCTTTATATTACTGAATATTAGTGTTTAATATATTTACTTAATATATACATAGAATATATATGTTTAGTATATATAATAAATACATATACTATATATTTATTAATTGTAAACACACAGAGACACAGTTAGCATGACTACATACCTGGAAGTCAGAGAAATTTGGTAGACTGTTAGCAACTGGCAGACAGACTATTCTGAAATAAAAATATATAAAATGTATACATGATTTTAAGAAATTGTATTTAACAATTTTACATTGGATAATATGAGATTAGGTTTAAAAAATACTTAAATGGAGGAAGAAAGTGAGATTTCATTCTTGATGAAAACTAGGATTAGCAGGTGATGAATCCTGCCAGGAATGGGTGCTTTCCTTCAAAGCAACAGGTTTCCTTCTGGCCAAGGAGGTGTCTAGAAATGTCTTCCTGGAGCTATGGCCTGGTGTGGGGGCCTAATGACTCTGGCCAGTGGCCTATTCTGCTGTGGCTGAGCTGGTATTCAAAATGCAAGACTAAGTCCTCCCTACTCTTCTCTCTCCTTTCCTCAAGTGGGAGGAAGGGCTTATTTTTTTTGCCATAAGCTGTGCAGTCTTGGCTTAGGGCTAAGGTGATGCCAGCACTACCTTAGCTGCCCTAGCTAGTATCCCGGTCACATGCCCACTAAGTCCTCTGGCTCTGGGCCCAGTTCAGCCTTAGGACATGCCTAGGAGTTGCAGACTTTGTGGCCTGGACTGCCTTTTGACTATATTTTAGGCCCCAGAGCACCTTAGCCAATGGTGGCGAGGCATGCGGGAACTCAAATTCTGACTGCTGAGATTGGTGATTCCTCTCTATCTAGGTTTTGTTTAAATGCTCACTCCATAGGTGGATGTCAGCTGATTTTGGTCTGCTTTTTCTTTCTACTATAACAGGGCAGCAGTGAGTTTAATGCCTCACAATTGCTGCATTTTTTCTCTCCCCAGAGCACAGGAATGCTCTCTGTATCATGTGGCTACTGCCTGGGGATTGTAGAAGAGTGGTGTCAGCAGCTCAAGACTCTATTTTTTTTTCACCTCTTCAGTGCCTCTTTTATGAATACAAAGTTAACTCCAGGTACCATGAATGCTCATCTGATTTTTGGTTTTTATGAAGGTTTTTTTGTGTGTGCGTATGTAGATATTTGTTAAATTGGTGTTCTTGCTGGGGGGACAATTGGTGTAGCCCTCTACTCTGTTATCTTGCATTTCCCTCTCTATCTGGAATCATAGTTTATTTTCAAAGTTTTCTTGATTCTTTATTAGTCATTCTGTATATATGAAACTCTGATAATCCATGAGCCAAATAAAGGGAAGCATGTTAATGCTTATATTCAAGTCATTATCTCATTCAAAATTCCATAATGTTGCCCATGTAATTCAATAGTTTTCAGCCTGCATAGATCGAGAGGAAAATATTGACATTAAAAATCATTTCAGGAAAAAAACCATAATAATAGACATTGCTTTTAACAAAATACATGTCATTCTACTAAAAATTCTCAAATATATGGGGACTTTTAAAACTGGATAAAGAGAAGCTAGAAAGAATGTATAAATTTTCTTCTATAACATTCTTAATTATGAAAAAAATTATGATTTCCCAGTTAGCTTAGGAATAAGGAAAGGATGACTGCTCTCAAGACTTCTACTCAACATTGTACTTGTACTTCTAAGCAGTTCAATAAGCAAGGAAAATAAATAAAAAAACATCAATTTTTGTGAAGAAAAATTATATTATTTGTAGATAGTGTGATCATTTATATATTCTATGCACTTTACCAAAAACTATTAACAGTACTAAATACATTTTTAGCAATATTTCAAGGTACAAAATTAGCACACCAGAATCAAATTTTTAAAACAAATAATTGAAAATTAAAAATTGAAATTAAATCAACGTTTCTAAAAGGAGCATGATTTATGTTTGTGTGATAGATCATTCACCAATACCCCCTGCTTTTTTGAGAAAGGGTGTCACTCTAACACCCAGGCTTGAATGCTGGAGTATAGTGGTACAATTACAGCTCATTGCAACCTCTGCTTCCTGGGCTGAAGCAATCCTCCCACCTCAGTTTCCTGAGTAGCTGGGACTACAGGCATGTGCTACCACGTCTGGCTAATTATTTTTATATTTTGTGTAGAGATGCCCTTTTTGCCCAGGCTGGTCTCAAACTCCTGGACGCAAGCGATCCACCCACATCCACCTCCCAAAGTGCCAGGATTACAGGTGTGCACCACTCCTCCCAGCCCTCTCCAATCCTTTACTTTGAGTCTATGAGCGTCATTATGAGTGAGATGCATCTCTTAAAGACAGCAGATGGAAGGGTCTTCTTTGTTATCCAACTTGCAATCCTGTACCTTTTACATGGGTCATTAGGACCATTTGCATTCAAGGTTAATATGAATATGTGAGGTTTTGATCATATCGTAAATTTGTTAGCGGTTGTTTTGTAGTTTTTACCGTGTAGTTGATTTAAAGGGTCTGTGGGCTACGTGTTTAGGTGCTATTTTTGTGATAGCAGGTATTGTTCTTTCATTTTCATTTTTAAAACTCCTATAAGATCCCTTGTCAGGCTGGTCTAGTGGTAATAAATTCTCTTAGTGATTGCTTATCTGAAAAATATTTTATTTCTCCTTTGCTTATAAATCTTAATTTGGTGAAACATGAAATTCTTGTTTGGAGTTTATTTTCTTTGATAATGCCAAAAATAGCCCCCCAGTTTCTTCAGGCTTGTGAGGATTCTGCTGAAAAGTTCAAGGTTAGCTTAAAGAGGTTCCCTCTGTAAGTGATCTAATGTTTTTCTCCAGCTGCCTTTAAGATTTTTTAATATTTACCTTAGACCAGCAGTCCCCAACCTTTTTGGCATCAGGGACAGGGTTTATGAAAGACAGTTTTCTCACAAACTGGGGAGTAGGGGATGGTTTTGAGATGAAACTGTTCCACCTCAGATCATCAGACATTAGTTAGATTCTCATAAGGAATGCCCAATCTAGATCCCTTGCATGAACCATTTATATTAGGGTTCATGCTCCTATGATAATCTATCTGATCTGAAAGCAGGTGGAACTCAGGTAGTAATGCTCACCTCCTGCTGTTCAGCCTGATTCCTAACAGGCCACAATCCAGTACTGGTTCACAGCATAGGGATTGGGGTCCCCTGCCTTAGACTGTCTGCTGCCCTAGTAATGTTCATTTTGTGTAGTATCTTGTAGAGTTTCTCTGGATTTTTTTGTATCTGGATGTCTATCTCTCTAGCAAGATTAGGAAAAAAAATTTTTGACTTATTTTCTCAAATATGTTTTCCAGGTTGTTTGCTTTTTCTGCTTCCCTCTCACAAATGCCAATAAATTATAGGTTTTGGTGCTTTACATAATCTCATATTTCCTGGAAAATATGTTTTTAAATTCCTTTTTCTTCATTCTTCCCTGACTGGGTTGGTTCGGGAGGCTTATCTTCAAGCTCTGAAATTGTTTCTTCAGATTGGTCTAATTTATTGATAAAGGTTTCAGTTGTATTTGAAATTCCTTAAGTGAGTTTTTCAGTTCTAGTAGCTCTGATTGATTTTTTTAAAAAATATACTTATCTATTCTCTCATTTCCTAGATTACTTTAGAAGTTTCTTTGTGTTGACTTTCAATCTTGTCTTGGATCTTGTTGAGCTTCCTTGCAATGTATGTTTTGCATTCTTTATCTGTCATTTCAGAGTTTCCACTGTGGTTTGGGACCATTGCTGGAGAGCTAGGGTGATCTTTTGGTGATGTCACCACATTCAAACATTTCATGGTGACAGAATTCTTATCCTGGTTCCTTCTCATCTGGAGAGGGCTGTGTTGGGTAGGGTCTTTTTGGCTTTGTTTCTATAGTCCTGTGCACTTCCCTCAGTAGATTTTTATATAGGGCTGTGCAGTTTGACCTATATGTCAATAGGTGGTGTTTGCAGGTAAGAGCCAGCTGTCACTCAAGGAGATGGGTATGGACCTTATCTTTGTTTTCTGTGAGGTGCTTTCTGTTGTTTCAGGTGAAGGGCTGGACAAGTGGGATGCCTGGTGTCCTGCTTGCTGTCCTGCATGGGTGGGGAGAGACAGCTGGACAGTGCTAGAGCCCCTAGATTGTCCATAAATACCCCAGTGGTGAGCTCAGGAACCAGCCCTGATGAAGGTTCCTGGGAAGAGCTCCTAGCGAAGCATGCTGGGGTCTCTTCAGAGGCAGTGAGGGGAGTGTACTTGCTCCTTGTCCTAGATACACAAGAATGTGATGCATTTCCCTATCATATGTCTCTTCCAGGGCTTGTGACTCCTAGTTCCACCTCCAGACCACAATGTGGTTGAATGTCTCTTCCAGGGCTTGGGACTCCTAGTTCCATCTCCAGACCACAAAGTGGTTGAGAGCCATGGGAATGCCTACTTTGCAACTCTCCAGGGGAGTGTTTTCAGGATGCAAGCTTGATACTCAGCCCAATGCAGATAGCTTTAAAACTCACCTGTTCTCCAATGTGGCAGTATTCTTGCTTCTTGTAAAGGGGGAGGGGTCTCTACCTTTGGACCCATGTGAGTAGGTGTTGGTTGTGGTGGTGTTGGCTGGTTGACTCAGTCCAACATAAGTCCTTGGGGGAAGTGTTGAGGTGTCAGGAGAATCGGAATGGGAGTAAGTAGTTCCTCAGTTCTTGGCACCTAGATGGACTACTGGACAGTGTGTATGAGTCCTGAAGGGGCTGGACCAGGGTCAGGCTAGCCCAAAGTTAAGGTGCTGGCAGTGATGGGAGAGGTAAGCTGGTCTCCGGGTCACAGGCCAAACTTTCAGGCAGGGGCAGGCAGAACACTTAGGTGGTGGGAGGCCAAGGGAATATCACAGGACTGTGGGGGTTTGATTTTTTTAAGGGATCTGGGCTACAAGTGAAATTATCAGGTGAGGGCAGGTCAGCTGTGCTGTGAGCCTTTCACTGGGGAGGGCAGGATCCCTCAGCTGGGGCAATGGAGACCAGTGCCTACTAAACATTGAGTACACATGGACATAAAGATGAGAACAATAGACACCGGGGACTGCAAGAGGGGAGAGGGTGGGAGGAGGATGGGGGTTTAAAATCTACCTATCAGGTACTATGCTCACTACTTGGGTGACAGGATCATTTTTACCCCAAACTCAGTGACACACAATTTACCCATATAACAAACCTGCATATGTACTTCCTAAACTTCAAAGTTGAAAAAGTAAAATAAACAGGCATGAAAACATTAGAAACATGTAGCAGTAAACGTAAAAGTTGTGAAAGACATAGTCACTAAAATGTATAAATCGTTGCTTAATAAATTAAAGATTTAAATACTTGGAGATATAGCATTCATGAATTAAAAAACTCAATATAGTTAAAAGGACAATTCTCTCAATATTGATTTATTGATTCAGTGTAATTCCAATAAAAATTTCTGTGGTCTTTGTAAAGATACTGACAAACAGACTTATTGCAAAGCAATAGATAGCAACAAAGTGGGTACTATGCTAAAGACGGACAAATAAATCAGTGGAACACAATAGTGAGTTGTGAAATAGATCCATGCATGGGCAGTCAATTTATTTTTGATAAAGTACAAAGGCAACTTTTTGAAGAAAAAATAGCCAGTAAATGGTGCTGGAAGAATTGGAAATCACATGCAATAAACAAATAAACTTGAATGCATATACATCTTAAAATATACAAAAATTAACTCAAATGGATTATAGATTTATGTGTGAAATCTAAAACATAAACTTTCTAGAATAATACATAGCGGAATATCTTTATGACCTTGAGTTTGATAATTTTTTTAGATACCAAAATTATGATCCATGAATTTTTTAAAAATGGACATATAACCTTATCAATATTAAGATATTCTGCTATTTGAAAGACACTAAGAAAATAAAAACAAGTCTAAGTAATTCACTAGTCAACCCATAAATCATTAAACAAGTGCAAAATATTTGAACAGACACTTCACGAAAGAAGATGCATGAATTGCAAATAAGCACATAAGAGATACTCAACACCATTAGTCATCTAAAAGCAGGGTGAGATATCACTATACACATAGTTAAATTGGTAAAATTAAAAAGACCTCCACACAAGACTGTCCCACGGGTGGTTTAAATGTAAAACCATAATTTTTATAGTTTGTCTGTTTTCTAAAACTTTAAATATAGGTTCCAGTAATCCTAATCTGAAGTATTTATGCCAAGTAGTGAAAGCATATGTCTATACAAAGACTTTTTCATGCATATTCATAGAAGCCTTATTTGTAATAGCCCCACACTACCAACACAGTCAAAATATCCATGAGTAGGTGAATGGATAGGCAAATGGTGACACATCTATACTATGGAGTGCTGTTCAATGTTAAAACCAAATGGTTCATTATTGATACATTCAACCGCATAGATGAATCACATAAATAATTATGGTGAGTGAAAGTAGCCAGACAAGAAAGAGTGTGTACTTTATGATTCCATGTATATAAAATTTTAGAATATTCAAACCAATCAATAGTGGGAGAGAGCAGGCCAATGGCTGTCTGGCAATGGTTATATTTTGGGGAAGGGAGGGAGGATGGGATTACAAAAGAGCACTTTAGAATGTGAAAGATATGCTCCTTATCTTGACTGTAGTGATGGGTCAAGGCATACATAAATATCAAAACTTAGCAAACTGTAAATTAAATAATAGCAGTGATTTGTGCATCAAGTATACCTCAAATTTTACTTTAGCTTTATTTAATATAATCCATAAATGGTATGCTGCTTATAGGACTTGTATGGCATAGTTTTTTAAAATATAGTATCTATATTTAATTATTATAGGATACAGAAATGAATAGGTACAAGTAAAACATAAGCCATTAATTATCTCTGTTGAACAGCATAATGAAAGAGTAGGAAAAATTAGGTAACTTGATTGGCATGATTTATAGCAATTAAGAAATAGCATGCCATTTGCAGAAAATGTGTATCAAGTACTAAAATATATATTTCTATGTGATGCTAAACAAATGAAGTGTTTAGTGTATTTTAACTATGCATGTTGTTTGAGGTCACCAACTAATATCATCAGTAGACTATTAGAAACCAATATTTCATACAACTATGTGATATCTGAGTATGTATTAAATAAGCCTAGAAAAGTGGGCTGGTATCTGGGTATCTGGTAGACACTTCATGAATATTTGTTGAATCAATATGGACTGAAACCTTTAAAAATAATTTCAAAATGTATTATTAGTTCTTAAAATGTGATACTTTTATCCCAATTAGAATTAACATTTTGCATAGGCTAACTATTCAAAAGCTGCATCTTGAGTTATCTATAGTAGATTATTTCTTCCTTGCCAAATAATATGATTTATTGTTCTCTCATCCAGAGCTGTCTAATTTTCCCTTGAGTCTGAATAGAGTTTGGTGATGATATCTTGACTACCTCCCTGGGTACCCTATTTGATTGCCTCATAGACCTCATGACTAAGAATTTCTTCATCTTATCTAGCTTAAGCATTCTTTCTTCATGTTTCAGGCCATTACTTCTTGTCTTACAATCTTTAACTATCTTCGGTAATTCATCCCCTCAGGAATTTAAGCTACCCATAAATATAAAAAGAAAAGGACATATCTCAGTGTCTGACAGTTTGTGAAAATTGAGACAACTATATTCTAGAGATAGCAGTAAGTACTCTAGGGCATGCAGAGAGAGCTGTGGGGAAGGAAATATTTCCTGGTTTGCTAAGTGAGGCAAGGTCACTGAACTTGTATGTGAATGGCTCCCTGAAACTATTGTTCATTTACCAAACAGATAACGTTTTAATCTGTGATCTTGGCTCTTATTTCATCTATTTTCCTCTTTGAATTGTGTCCATATGTGTTGCTGCTTTTCTTTAAATGATGATAACAAAACAAGGAAAAGACAGTGAGAAGTGTCAAAAAGAATTTCTTGTCAAAATATTATTTTTTTGTGACTATTTCTCTATCATTCCCATTTTTTATTTTTCAAAGAATTGTTTTGTGTTGCCTTATGTTGTTTTGTTTGTGGATCTTAGTAAATTCAAGAGGCCATACTATTTCAAACAAATGACCCACTGGAAAATATTTTAGCTTGGGAAATTGTGTGATTCTCTCCAGAGTTTCTGTGAATGTCAGGCATTTTTGAGGCGTTTCCAAATATGAAAGTTTAAGAATATATTGTGTTAACTGAAATCAACGTATTTCTCAGTATAAAATACTTGTCCCTGGAAATCTGAACTTTGTAACATTTGTAACATTTGTAACTTTGTAACATTTGTAATCTGAACTGTTGTAACATTCTTGTTTATCAAGTTTCATTCACTTCTAAGCCCCTGCCACATGGTACAAATCAATGCAAATCTATTGTGTTAGAAACTCTGTCCAAGTTCAATCAGTTCCCCAGCTTGTAAGACCCACTTTCAAACCATCCAACCCAGGTCTGAAATCTCTATAAATACTATTATCTAAAATGATGAATCAGCATTGCTTAACATCATGTTATTAAGCAATTGCAAACTAAACAGCAGTGAGATACCACTATGCATCTTTTAAAATGGCAAAAATTAAAAAATAAATTAAAACTGTAAATATGGAATGTTGATGAGGATGAGAAACCACAGAGAATTCTTTCACGGCTGTTGAGAATGCCAAATGGTTAAGACACATTGGAAGACAGTTTAGCAGTTTTTTACAAAGCTAGGAATAGTCTTACTATAAAATCCAGGTATTTTGCTCCTAGGTATTTATCCAAATGAGTTAAAAATTTATTACCACACAAAAGCTGACATGAATATTTAAGACATCTTTATTTATAATATTGCCTAAAACTGAATCAATAAAGACTTCCTTCAAAGGTTAGTGGAGAAACAAATGGTGGTACTTCCATAAAATGAAATATTACTCAGTAATAAAAAGTGAGCTTAAAGCCATGAAAAGATGGAGGAACCATAAATGAAAATTTCTAAGTGAAAGAAGCCAGTCTGAAAAGGCTACATACAGTATGATTCTAACTATATAAAATTCTGGAAAATGTAACACTATTGTATAGAGAAAGTAAAAAAAGACCAATGTTTGCCCAGGCAGCAGATGTTGGCCTTACTAGGTGAAAAACAGGGATTTTTAGGGCAAGCAGCAAAACTATTTTGTTTGATATTGTAACAGTTAATACCTGACATTATGCATTTCTCAAAACCCACAGAGCTTTACAACACGAAGGGTGAAACCATAAAATTTTGTTAATAATAATCAGTCAATATTTGTTCATTAATTATAGCAAACGTACCACACTAATACCAGATTAATAATAGGGGAAACTGTGTAGGGGAGAGGTTCATATCAGAACTACCTGTACTATCTGCTCAATTTTTTTCTGCAAATTCTAAAATTATTCTAAAAATAAAGTTGATTAATTAAAAAAGTACAAGTGGTCGCATAGAATGACAAAATTGAAGTAACTCAATTTCTGTTCTTTGCCTTTACAATGATCATTTATTTTAAATGTCCTACTTGAAAGAAAACACATACATACAGATCTAGGTCTGGGAATGGGAGTGGAGGAGGAGTACTTAACTTAATTATCTAATATCTTCCATGTAGAATACAATGTTTTATTAAGAGATAAGTACTAATGCTGTGCTACTTTGAAATATATATGCATACCTAAATATGTATTACATACATTTAATATTAATATTATTAACATCTCTAATATAAATTATATAGAAATACAATACAATATTAAATATATAATATACATATCTGTACAAGTATACAAGTACATATATATGCATACATCAACTCAGCAGTAAGTACAGCAATTATTTTAATTAGAACTTCGATCACAGATGCTTTTGTTTTTTGAAAATGAGTATTTTATCACTGAAATTATTTGGAATTGGTGGTGGTAATTTTAAAACAGTAACTTTTAGTAGGGTATTTATTGGTTTTAAATGACTGTCCCTTCATTTTGGTATACAGCCATTTTGGTTGAATCTATAATAGTCTCAAATTTTTCTGACACTGAAAAAATAATAATAACAAATGAAGGAATTAATCAATTTTAGCATTTTTAAAGAATATATTAAGACAGTCGGAGGAACTCTGGCCTAGCTTTCCAGTTTTATTAACTGATTGGCTAGTAGTTAGGACTAATTGATAGATTTAGCAGTATAAACTTCATCACTAGAGGCAGCTCTCAGGGAATACATGACTGTGTAAACAGAGTACTTGATTAAGTTGTAGAGCCCCAGGGAACAGCCTGGACTCTGGTTATGTAAATATAACAGATGGCTAAGCAAATGCCGTGCTGTACTAAGAGTAGGTTTATTGTAGTTATCTAGGTTTATATAGAAGATTTAAGAGGGAGACGATCCAACTTTTCCAAGCCAAACCAGGTATTGACTATATCATACTGTCATGGAAATTATTTGAGAATGGGTTGGAAGTTTTTCAAGTCAACATCCTCTAGAGAACAGTACACTGTTTAACTGCTTATGATTGTTTTGTTATATTTTTAAAAGCAATTTTCCTTGAAGAAAATTGTGAGATAATGGCCCAGATCCTGTCATTTGATAAGGGTTATGCCACTTTGTAGAAGACAGAATTGGTGAGTAATTCTCATTGCAAAAACAGCTTATGAATGAATACTTTTTGAAGTTCACATACTATATATGCTCTTATTTAATCTTATTTAATCTTCATCTCAATGTTTAAATTAGGTGCAGGTACTTCTCACTTAAACTGAAGAAACTAAGTTGAGGATAGAAAAGAAAGAACTTATATAAGGGGAAAAAACCTTGAGGCAATACTGTACAATAAATATACATTGGTTTGAAATCACTAGCACACTTATACACCAATAACAGTCAAGCCAAGAGTCAAATCAGGAATGCAGTCTCATTCACAATTGCCACACACGAAAATAAAATACCTAGGAATACAGCTAACCAGGGAGGTTAACGAAGTCTACAAATAGAACTACAAAACACTGCTCAAAGAAATCAGAGAGGACACAAACAAATGGAAAAACATTTCATACTCATGGATAGGAAAACTCAATATCATCAAAATGGCCATACTTCCCAGAGCAATTTATAGATTTAATGCTATTCCTATTAAACTAGTAATGTGATTCTTCACAGAACTAGGAGAAAACTATTTTAAAATTCATATGGAACCCAAAAAGAGCCCAAATAGCCAAGGCAATCCTAAGCAAAAAGAACAAAGCTTTAGGCATCACACTATCTGACTTCTAACTATACTACAGGGCTACACTAACCAAAAGAGCATGGTGCTGGAGCAAAAACATGCACATAAGCCAATGGATCAGAATAGACAACTCAGAAATAAGACTACATATGTACAACTATCAGATTTTTGACAAAGCTGACAAAAACAAGCAATGGGAGTAAGACTCCATATTCAATAAACGATGCTGGCATAACTGGCTAGCCACATTCAGAAGATTGAAACTGGACTCCTTCCTTACACCATATACAGAAATTAACTCAAGATGGATTAAAGACTTAAATGTAAAACCCAAAACTATCAAAACCCTGGAAGATAACCTAGGCAATACCATTCTGGACATAGGCACAGGAAAAAATGTCATAAAAAAGATGCCAAAAGCAATTACAAAGAAAGTGAAAATAGACAAGTGTGATCTAATTAAATTAAGATTTTCTGCAAAGGAAACTATCAACAGAGTAAACAGACAACTGACGGAATGAAATAAAAATCTTGCAAACTATGCATCTGATAAAGATCTAATATTTAGAATCTGTAAGGAATGTAAACAATTTAATTTTCTGAGATAGAGTCTTGCTCTGTTGCCCAGGCTGGAGTGCAGTGGTATGATCTTGGCTCACTGCAAGCTCCGTCTCCTGGGTTCAAGCAATTCTCATGCCTCAGCCTCCCAAGTAGCTAAGATTACAGGTGCGTGTCACCACGCCTGGCTAATTTTTGTATTTTTAGTAGAGATGGGGTTTGATCATGTTGGCCAGGCTGGTCTTGAACTCCTGATCTCAAGTGATCCACCCTTCTCGGTCTCCCAAAGTGCTGGGATTACAGACATGAGCCACCGCGCCCAGGGGAACTTAAACAAATTGACAAGTTAAAAAAAAAAACCAAAACAAAACATTAAAACGTGGGCAAAGGACATGAACAGATACTTTTCAAAAGAAGACATACATGCAGTCAACAATCGTGTAAAAAAGCTCAACATCACTGGTCATTAGAGAAATACAAATCAAAACAGAGTACCACATGTTCTCCCTTATAAGTGGGAGCTGGAAGGTGAGAACAGATGAGGGAAATCAGTGTGCCCCAGGACAGAGGGTGGGAAGAGGGAGAGGATCAGGAAAAATAACCAATGGGTGTCAGGCTTAATGCCTGGGTGAAGAAATTGTCTGTACAACAAACCCCATGAAACAAGTTTACCTATATAACAAACCTGCACATGTACCCCTCAACTTAAAATAAAAGTTAAATTAAAGAAAAGATATATTGGAGGAGTCATGATAAAGACCAGAGCTTGGTGCCCAGGTGAATGTCCTTACAGAGTCTAAATACCATCCAATAGACAGAATAGAAGTCTTAAAAATTCAGAATTGTCCTACTGCAGCTTATAGTTGCCAATCACTACTTATGTAGGTAATGTTTAATTAGAATCAGTATTATCCTGGGAAAATAAACTATATGTCTTAGTATCATTCACTCTAAGGTACAATTGAGCACTTACTATGGGCAGAAAATGGTTTCTGGCCACTTGAATCACGTAGTCTAATGCAGTATTCTGCAAATTTACCTGATGACAAAGTATACCAAGTGCCCTTGTTAAAAATAGAGATTGCTAAATTTTCTCCTGGAGAGTATAATTCAGATTGTTGGAAAAGACACAGGAAATCACATTTTTAATAAGCACCTCATGTGACAGTTTTCAGGCATGTGTGAAAATCTTGGTCTACCAGATTTCTAAATAACATATAATGAGGACCCAAAGCATAATTACTTTAGCTAGAGTAATTGTGTCTTCAAAAATTATTGGAAAGAAAGCAAATTAAAAGGACACCATTGTTTCTTGTTAAGATTTTCTGTCATTTTGCTATCTATAAATGATTCTATTGTTGACTTTTAAATAATCAATTTAAGATTTTGAAAACTGTAGCATTCTCCTAATCTACAAATAAATTCCTGCTGAAACTATTGCCATCTGCTGCTTACATTTAAGAACATAGCCAAAGGCCCAGAATATTACCCAAGACTATGCCTAAAAGGGTATTGGACCTAGGGCCTCCTCATAAAAAGTTTCTACTACTGCCAAGTCACACCATTTATCTTCTTGGATACATATGCAGGGGAGAGTGGGATAGTTCTGCTTTACAATGATGGTAGTGGTAGTAAAATTGGGGTGGCAGACAGATGTATATGTGCAAATAAGTATGGGTATATACTCACACATGTATGTGTGTGTATATATATATATATATTTGGGACAATTTGTTTTTAATTGTAGCTGCATGGTCATCCAAAATATAATTTTTTATTAAGAAATTGATAAGTAATCATTATTATTATTATCATTATTATTATTATTATGCCACACAGGAAACTTGAGTTTGCTGATGTTTTTCTCCTTTTACAAAAGAAAGGGTTGGGGGAACCATATTGCTAACTTTAACTGTTGTCTAGTTGCCAGATATATCTCTAACAGTCATTCAATGTCTTATATGGAGGAAATGACCTAAGGCAATATATCACTTACAATTTTATACTGCATTAGCAGCAACTAATATAGCTGTCTAAAAATAATTATTTTAACAGATGAGAGATATTGCCTCATACATAGTCTTATAACCTAGACTCATAGAAATTAGGACTCTGATTGTCTACTGTGAGGTTTAACACTATATTTGAAGTATGTTTAGTTTCTCCAGTAAAAGTATTCTAAGCAAGGTCTTTATTTAATATACTATTCCAAAATATGTTCTAACACTTCTATTTAATAGAAAATCAGCAAATGTATTATTTTTAGGTAAAATAATGCATCAGTAAAATAAGTCAATGTCAAAAATTTTGCTTTATTATTATGCAAAGTAACAGAGTACAAAGAAAACAAGTTTTCTACTCATAACAAAGAAGATACACAGGTAAAATTTACCAAACAGAAATCCAACAATCTAAATAAAACAAAATTTAAACTCAAAATTTTGTTCTTAAAAAGAGTTAGAACTAAATTCATAAACTATAATTTCCTTAGGTTTCAATAGAGTACTGTTAAGACTCAATAAATCTTTTAAAAGACAAGGAATCTATTTTTTACCAGACTTTCTTAGCCGTTGGCTTTGTCAGCAACAGTGTTTGCAGCCATTAAAACAGTGAATCGCCAAGAGAATAAGTTTAGAAGAAGAGTAAATCATTATGTAATACCATATATATAGTTGAGATAACTGGGGAGAAGTTGAAGGCAAACATAAAAACAGGTAAAAAGAAGAAAAAGACTAATATATAGGATCAGTGATCAGGAAACATTTTTGAACACCTGAATCACACTGACTGGCTCTATCTTTTTCTTCCCTCTTCTTCCAAAAGTACAAGAAAAATAATGATTTGAGTTTCCAACGGATCTTTCTATAGTTTGGAAAGTATGTTGCCTTGATTACAATGTGAAATTACAATTAAGAATATTTGGCTTGCTGAAAACCTATTGTGGGTTTCTGGAGGAGGCATCATTTTTTTCGCCTACTTTTCTATGTTGCTAAATAGGTTTTTACTGCAGGGATCATTGCAGAAAGCCTGGAAACACCAGAATCTCTAACATGCTGAAAGCATTGTGTTGATCATGTAAGAATCTGGAAAAATAATTTTTTCTTGGTTTGCAGTTATTTTTTACAGTGTAGGCTTAAATCCATTTGAGCTGGCTAAATATACTGGAAAATGAATAACTCTTTGATGTTGTGGTTAAAATTTTTGGAAGAAAATGCCTAAACAGAACCTATAAAAATTCAGAAAAATGGAAATTTCAAACTGGCTATTTATTCATATTAAATTAACTAAAAGCAGCAGCATTTTGAAATAAATATTCGTATCTTTTCCAAGTAACTAAAAGAAAGCTGACCATGTATACAGTTCTGGTCCCTAATCCCATCTTTAAGGGTCATCAAAAATGTTGTCACAAATATCTGAATGCTATTCTCTAGACTATTTTTATTTTGGACTTTAAGTTTGTAGAATTAGATCACATAGTTCTTCATTAATTACACAATGTCATCGGAATCCATGTGTAGCAATCACTGCAGGCACCCCACTTATATCCCTCAACACCTACCATTGTAGTTTTTGTAAATGGCTTGCCTCTGAAAGCATCAGTTACTCTCTGCATGATGGTATTCTCTAGCTACAGGAGCATGTAACTAAGACAGTTGGTACTGGATGTAAGGCTTCAGGAAGTAGATGGGATGGAATTCTAGAATTGTATCAATCATCAGCCATATTCAACAAGGATAGTTTTCCTGAGGATTACTGGGGTGATAACAACCCTTGGGAGCTGCAGCTTCTTAATTACTAAGACTTACTAAGACTTCCATTTGTGTTCGATTTGGATAGGATGCTGATGGAAGGGAATGCACTGTATTACTCAAGTAGCTCTAGCTGTTGAAAAAAATATGGAGGCAATTATATTTAGAAGGATTGAGTATAAACTGGCTATTGTTAGCTGCTATAGTAGAAGAAAAATGTAGGCTCAGATGAGTCAAATATCAATTCAGGGGACAGCATAAAAGCCAGAAGTTCTTTATGAAAGGATTTAAAAAGAATTTGTAGTAGAAGGGTAGACTCTACTGAAACTCAGGCTGAAGATTTGATTGTAATAGTAGCAGACTTACAAAAGAAACTACAATCACGGCCCCAGATTTACAAGCCCAGGTCCTGTGGGAAATAATAGTATCCTGAGACCAGAATGGATATTAGAGTGCAAACACTTGACAATATTGAGCGTCCAGGTCCCTCTATAAGGAATCTGGTCTAGGAAAATAGGTCTTACTTTTGCAAGAAAATAGCACATGCTTGATCTCCTCAATGTCTGCCAGCTCCCCCACTTCCTGCTTCAAGACAAATAGCTAAGTTCAGTTATCAACATGGTCTTGCTAAGAGAAGAAATAAATTACTCACAAAAAGATCTGCAGATTCTGACTAATATGTACCCACAGGATAGCACATATGGCAATGGTTATTGAGGGGACTGGAACAAAGATGCAGAATACATTACTGCATAGGGAAAAGTTTAGTGATATAGAGGTACTGTTGTGACTGAGTGTACATTTACAGCAAGGATTCCTGGAGCTGTCCTAATACACTGGAAGATTGATCTACAAAAACTGGAAACAGTAATTTACAGGAAATTGAGACACTGTAACTGTCTAGGTAGCATATTGAGAAACAGGTCAAATAATTCCTAGGATAGGGAATGCTCAAATAGATCAGTTAAGTAAGACCAAAGAATGTATCAGCTGATTATGATCTTTGGGGGAATCTAAGAGACACACCTTTCACTAAATTAATAAGAAATGTTCTAATGTGGGGTTCTAGCATCTCTGAGACATTCAGGATTGACTGTCTTTTAGAGAGCAATGTTGATATTAAGAGGTATCACTATCATATTGAGTTCTGTACCGTCACTCACAGATAATAGGATTCTGAAATAACAGAGGCCATGTGGTAACATTTAACCATCACAAGTAAGGTTCATGTAATAACTGTGTGGGCAGCAATGATGTAATAGCAAGAAGGTGATCTTGATCCTCAGGGATTTGAGGCAATGGCTAACACACCATGCTGTTCCTAGGGATAACATATATGAATTATCAATGAAAGTATTGTATTACTTGGCTTATATAGCTAAAAATAATCAAAAGCATTTGAGCAGAAGACTGGTGGCAGTCAGAAAATCACTGTCCCTAAGAGAGTTTTCAGGCCTGAGCATGGCCTCAGATCCAGAGCCCTATAATAGAAGAGGAGGTAAAAGCCATGGCGAGTATATAAAACAGCTGGTCCCTAAACTACCAGATTAGGAAAAGGAGAATACTCAGATCATTTAAAAGACATTGGATATGTATGGGTTGCATGCTGACACTGAAACCAGGAGACACAAGACACCATCATGACCTCAGGTAAGAGGTGAGGTGATAAATGGAGTTCTGGCAAAAGTCCATCTTACCCTGGATCCAATGGGTCCGTGGAAACACTCCGCAGTCATTTCCCAGTTTCTTGAGTGAATAATTATAATGGAAATAATTAATAGCTGGCATTATCAAGTCAGTTCCCAAACCTGTGTATTTATAGACATTGTGATAGGAAAGAACAATCAGAGGTGTGTGAAAATGCCTGCCCATGCAACCCCCAGCCAAGATTGTAAATAACATGCAATATAGCATCCTGGGTAGAATGGCAGAAATTAGTACCACTTTCAAGACTCCAATAATACAAAGTTAGTTATCTTCATCATATCCCCATTTAATTAATCAGACTAAGAAAAAATCAGATGTTTCTGTACACCTATTCTATAAATTTAAACAAGTGGTAACCTTAATTGCCACTATAAAGCTGGACATGGTTTCTTTATTTGAATAATCAATGTAGCACCTAGTTCTTGATATGAATCTACTTAGTACATGCTTTTTATTTTCAATTGATATTAGAAAGAGAACCAAATGCTGTTTGAATATTCCTAAGAAGAACAAGAGTATACAGCAATAGCTATGTTAATAAATCTATTAGCCTATGAAGTAAAAGTGGTCTCCTTTACTATCATTACTGTGTAACATTTGGGAAAGTTGTGTTTTCCATCTGTAAAACTTAGGTTTTTTAATGATTCAAATTCCTGGTTTCCAGTGATGGGAGCAGTACTTCTTCCAGGTAACATAAAAAGGGTTCTAAACCTAAAACCGTAACTCAGGGCTGGTCAATTTGAGCTCTTCATAAGGTAGATTGGTAAGAAAAGAAAAGATTTACTGTACTGGCATGATTAACTGACTATGGTGAAAGGATAGAGTGGTTGCTACATGATGGAAACAGGGAAGAGTCTGATGTAAACTCAGGAAATTAATTGGGGCCCGCCCCTCTTTATGCTTCCATCCCTGGTGATGGGAATACAAATGGGTAATTATAGTAATCAACCAGAGAGGGGCACAGTATCCAGAGGGCTCAGACACCTCAAGGATGGATTATTTCATTAGATGATGAACGTAAACTAGCACAAATGCTGTCCAAAGATGAGTGGACTCCAGAATGCATGATAGAGAACAGAGAATATAGCTATGGATTATAAACTCAGAAACAAGCGCAATAGTGATGAATCCAGCTTGTCCTATTCACTGGACTCCAAAATGCATGATAGAGAACAGAGTGTTTATCTATCAATTATAACCTCAGAAACAAGTGCAACAGTGATGAATCCAGCTGTCCAAATTCAAAATTTGGAAATTTTGACTAATCACAACCTTGAAAAATCAGGGAGAAATGAAGGAATTTAATGTGTAGCACATGTGTATTTGAGAGATGCAAGAAGTGAACCATAGCAGATGTTACTGCTATCTGACTCATATCTCTCCAATATTCAATGCTCACTGTTCCTTGGAAGCTGATTGTTTCTCACATCAAGGCCTTATAACTCTTTACCTGAGGGATTTCTCTAGACACATGAGGAAGATTTGCTACATGTGGTGCAGCTCAAATTTTGAAGTAAATGATATCAAATGCAATCCTCTGCCAATATTGGCTATACACACATTTGGACAGTTTGGAACAATTTTGGGATGTGTTATACTCCATGAAATAGACAGTAGGACTAACATACAGCTTTCCATAGAGGTAATCTATTCATGAATATACCAGTTTTAGCTAATTTTTCTTCCCTATCCTACTGTCCCATTCCCATGCTGGTGCTTCTTGGGATTACCTCCTAAATAACAATGTCTTTTCAAATCTTACACTCGAGGTCTATTTTGGGGAGAACTCAACTTAAGAATCCATTTGTACCCTATTTTATTTTTATTCTATCAATATAATTAACATCCGTAAGCACACCACCCAGAAACTCCAGCCTGGTAAAATCTTAGAATAACCTCTGAAAGGTACAGCTAATGTGACACTTTGGAAATGATGCTCTACTTGAAAAAAAAAACAGTGATAATAACTGAAAATAACTTCTTCTACCAACGCAAACTTTTACTTCTCCATGTCAGATATAATCCGAATTTGGAATTACCATTTATTTAATTTAAAAAATGTTTTACCTTATATTTAATGCCTACCTTTATATTCAAAGTATTTTAAAAGGTACCACATAGATGGACTCTTCCTGGTGTCAATACTATTGTTTTGAGTATTTTTGTTTGTGTTTCCTAGCATACAAATGAAAGAATTTTATTGAATATATGCCTGGGAATCAATGTCAGTTAAGAGTGAATTTGATTGTTGAGCCTTATAAGTAAGTATTTCTCCAAAGTAATGTTATCAATTTATATTTGCAAATAGGAATTTATAGGAGATATTGTTTATCCACATTTTTGAGAAAACTTAATGCTGTCATACTCCTTAATTGTGGCCAATCAATGGTGTTAAAGATGGTTTCTTAACCATGGTATTAATTTGTATTTTCTTGATTTTTTAATAAGTAAGAGTATCTGTTAATACATTAATATGTCATGTGTATCTGTTCTATAAAAGTGGAAGACAATATATATTATTTACCAATTTTCCCATTGTGTTATCATTTCTTTGTATATTTGCATGAGTTATTTATATATTATTAATACCAATTATTTGTAGATTATTTCAAACATATTTTCCCAGTTTGTAGATTCATTTTCATTTACTACAATTTATATTTTGAAGAAGAGCTATTGTTATTTACTAGCTTTAACATTATTATTAAATTTTATTTTAATAAACTCAAGTAGAAAATATTAGGTTTTTAAAAAAAAATTCCTACGATGCCCCAGTAAACAGAACAGTGTTGTTTATTAGGCATTTTACTAATTTGTTTCACGTTTAAACATAGATATTTTAGTCCTTCATCTATTTATATTTAAATCTTATGTGTAATATAATGTGGCATTCCAATTTTATTTTCTTCCATCTCTACAAATATTTTCACCTTTATTTTAAATAGTTTGTTTTATACCAAGTCATGTCACCTGCACCACACATTTTAGTTCAACATACGTGAAGGTCTTTATCTGGTCAATGCATTCTATTGCTCTGGTCATTTTTTATATATCCATATCAGTACTATACTATTATTATTATTATTATTACAAAATACATATTGATATTTGGCAAAAATCTCTAACCTTATTCTTATTCAAAAGGATAGTTATTGCTATACTCTTTTATATAAGATTCATAATTAGCTTGCAAATTTCCACAGAAAATATTTTGGCATACTTATTTAAATTGAAGGCATTTCTAAATAAATGAAGAATAAGAGAAGAAAACAAAGTGAGATTTAAAACACTTAGAACTAAAAGAGTATGAAACCATGATACATCAACTCTTGTGGGATGCAACTAAAGCAGATATATTTAGAAAAGAGAAGCTGAGATATTAATAAAATCAGTGGCTAATATGAGATGTTAGTTGAAGAAAATGTTGTAGAAAGAGAAGATAATAAAAATGTAATTGCAAATCAATAAAACATATAAATAAGATAAATAAAGCCAAAAGCTTTTGTTTCTAAAATGTTAAAAAACTGAAAATTTACTTGAAATATTGGTCAAAAATGAAAGTAAAAATGGAGAAAAGTATTATGATTAAGAGTTATATGAGACAAGTTAAAAACACAAAATAATAAAACTTGATGACAAGAAAACTAGCAAACCTTTTTTGCTTATATTTCTAAATTATTTACTAGAATGTAAGTTAAAGAAACAAAGATCTCAAACAATTATAGATAGGAGTGGATAATAAATCTTTTTTTCTGTTCCCCAAATTTAAATGTTGACAAATGCTTTATGAGCATTGATAGAGTTGATCATAAGACTTTTCTTATATATGTATCGATATAATAAACTTTGGAATAACTTTTCTAAAATTGAACCATCTTTGCATTCCCAGAGTAAACTCATGTTGGAAATGGTGTATGTTTCAATTCATTGTTTAATTATTTTGCAAATGTTTTATTTAAGATCTTTGCATCAACATTAATAAAGCTATGCTTGACTGTAGTGTTTTTTTTTTCTTGAATTCTTTCAAGCTTGCCATCAGTGGAATATTCCCCAGTGTCCGTTACTGGCTACACCTGTTTGCAGCATAGCCTGAACTGCCCTGCTGGAGCACTTTCGCCCACAACTCTCCCACTGCCCCACCAGAATGCTGTTGCCAGTGGCCACTGCCAGAGTTCTTTCACTGGCAGCCCCCACCATCCTGCCAGAGCACTTTTGCGGACAGGCCCCTGCCAGAGCACTTTGGCCCGCAGCCTTCCAAAGACCCTGTTGGAGTGTATTCACCTGCCCCATGGAGCACTCTTGCCAGTGTCTCCTGATGGAGCACTATTTCCAGCAGACAGAAAGCACCTCAGCCCTTGTCCTTCAGCACAGCCAGTGCTCAATCTTGAGGGGTCAGAGAACAAAGCTGTGGGCCCACTACTAAGCCCTAGTGTTAGAGTACACAGCCCAGGAGTACCGAGCTGAGCCTCAGCCCCCTGTAAGCATCCAGAAATGAAGCCAATTAAGTAAACATAAATTATACTCCAGTCAAATCCTCAAGGGCAATAAAGAACATAAAATCTAAAAGCCCCATCCAAAGGACAGCAACTTCCAAAAAATTGAGGAGGAGGGACTTAAAACTATACTATAAGGCTACAAGTAACCAAAACACCATGGTCTTGGTACACACACACCAATGTAACAGGATGGAGAACACAGACATAATGCTGCATACCTACAACCACTTGATTTTTGACAAAGTTAACAGAAAACAAGCAATAGAAATAAGGACTCCATATTTAAAATATGATACTGTGACAACTGGATGGCCATATGCAGAAGAATGAAACTAGACCCCTATATTTCACTGTATATCAAAATTAACTCAAGATGGGTTAAAGATTTAATGTAAAACTTCAAACTAAAAAATGCCAGAAGAAAATCTACCATATGCCCTTCTTGACAGCGGCCTTGGTGAAGAATTTCTGGCTAAATTTCCAAAAGCAAAATGCTATAAAAACAAAAATCGACAAGTGAAACCTAACTAAAGAGCTTCTGCACAGCCAGATAAACTATCAACAGAATAAACAGATGACCTACAAAGTGGGAGTACATATTTGCACACTATGCTTCTGAGAGAGGTTTTATATCCAGAGTCTACAAGGAACTTAAACAAAGCAACAAGCGAAAACCAAATAACCTCATTAAAAAATAGGAAAAGAATATGAACAGACACTTCTCAAAAGAAACATGTAAGTAGCCAACAAACATAAAAAAGATCCGTATTACTAAGCATCAGAGAAATGAAAATCTAAACTACACAGAGATACCATTTCACACCATTCAGAATAGCTACTATTAAAAAGTCAAAAAATAATAGATGCTGGTGAGGCTGCAGAGAAAAGGGAATGCTTATACGCTGTTGGTGGGTATGTAAGTTAGTTTAGACATTGTGGAAAGTAGTTTGGAGACTTCTCAAAGAACTTTTAAAACAGCTACCATTTGACACAGCAATTCTATTATTGGGTATATATTCAAAGGAAAAAAAAATTCTCCCAAAAAGACATGCAGTCCTATGTTCATCATAGTGCTACTCACAATAGCAAAAACATGGAATCAACCTAGGCCTCCATCAACTGTGGACTGGATAAAGAAAATAGGGTACATATATACCATGGAATCCTATTCAGTCATAAAAATAAAGAAATCATGTCCTTTGCAGCAACATGGATGGAGATGGAGGCCATTTTCCTAAGAGATTTAATGCAGGAGCATAAAACCAAACACTGAATGTTCTTACTTTTAAGTTGAAGCTAAATGCCCAGTACATATGGACATAAAGAAGAAAACAGTAGACACAGGTGACTACTAGAGTCAGAGGGTAGTGGGGCATGGGATGATCCCATAACCCAGGTAGTGAGCACATTATCCCTGGACAGTTTGTTATCCCCAAACCTAGCATCACATAATATGCCCATGTAACAAACCTGCGCATGTACACCCTGAATCTAAAATAAGCTTGAAATTGCAAAAAAAAAAAAAAAAAGTCACTGCCCCCATTACCCCATTTACCGCTGAGAATCGGCTGCTGTTTCTAATATGATTTTTTTTTTTCTGAAATAGCCGTGTAGCTAGCTAAAGCTTTTTATTGATGAGATATTATTAATCTTTCTTGTTTTATTAGTATTCTGAATCTAGAAATAAGAAAAAATGTCATCAGAAAAAGGGGCACTGAGATAAAAGCCTAGTATTCACTACATGTTTTTACCCATTTTTCCAAAGTTTTATTTGTAGATGTCCATTGAGGTAGGGAGAGTGGGAACTTTTTGAATTTATGGTTATTACATAGATTGTAAAAATTACTATCTGACTGTAAGACAATCTTGTATCACCTCCCAAAGTATCATGGGCTTTTGGGAAACTGCGCTCTACCACTTACTGTAACTTTGGGTAAATTATGTAGTGCATCTTCATTTTATTGTTCTCACTTAAAATAGGGATACTACTAATACAACTCAAATATAGTAATTAAGATTAAGTAAGAAAATACTTGCTAGATGCTTAATATAGATCTTGCCATATACTATGCACTCAGAAAATGTTAATTATATATGTAAACATATAACATATGTAATATATGATATATAAATGTTAATTAGTAATCTCATCACTATTATCATTTGTCTTTTTATAATGCATAGGTCATAAACCTGGATCCTTGGCTTTGACTTAGCTGTTGTCAGCTGACATGGGCTTTCCCAGTAAATTTCTAAGAGGTGTTCTCTGAAAGTATTTCTCCAATTTAGCAGAGCCTCATAAAATGAAGGTCACTTGTATAGAAATTATTTATTTTACAGCTAACAAAATGGATGGTACTTTCTGGAATTCATACTACCGTCTTTGTAGGCATGGGATCCCCATAGTAAACAAATAAACTACCCACACATGTACATATACAAGCTAAGAAAAGTGGACCTCCCATCCCTTATAATTGTTCTCTTTTATTTTCACTTTAGATAAATGGAGATCAGATTGAAAGAAGGTACTTGAGGACAATGAGAGAAAATCTGGATTATTGTATGATGTGCTTCACTTTCAGTCTGCAAATTTGTATAGTTATTATCATAAAAACACATGCTTTAAGGAAGGCAAATGCTAGATTAGAAATATCTTAGATGACATATTATATTTTGTGTATCATTTTCCAACCTACAAATTGTTATAATTTTCTTTTATAACTACCTTATCTACTAGGTAATCTCTTCTAAGAAAACAATGGCAGTAAAAGTATTACTATATCCTACGTATCTTCTACTTGAAGTGTACTAGTGATCAGATTCTAGTCCACAATATTTTAGCTCTCCAGAAGTATGACAGTCACAATCATGAATTTTAGTACAGGTTATAAAGAGATACGATGTAAACTTCTCACTCAAAAATTGTTTCTTAGCAATATATATCTTTGGTGCAAGCACTTAAATAACACTTTCCCATGCCAGTTGTAACCTTCTCTTGGGGGTTCAGGGTCAAGTACTGAAATCTGTGGTGATAAAAGCTTAATTCCTATTACTCTGTGAAAGGCTACTGTCATCAATTACATTTTAAACTTGCTGTTAACCCTAAATAAACTGAATTGTGCATCCAGAAAGAAATATGGTTCAATGTCAAATTTATTTGTTTAACCAACTCAAACTCACAAGAACATTTTTAGCTTTGGCTATATAAAATCCAGATAAGGAAAAACACTATCAATAATAGGTTATAGAATTACATCACTTACATCAAATAGGACCATAAAAATTTATATATATTATATTCAGGAGTGAAGCAATTCAGACTGACTACACTTTAGTGCTCTGAAAGTGTGACATATTTTTCTTATAACTAAAGGTAGGATTCCTTTTTCATTCTGTCTTTTGTTTTGATTTGGTTTGGTGTTTTGTATGATCCCATTTCTAATACAAATTTCTACATCATCAAGGGTCTCAGGATTCCACAGACAACATATGCTGTTGAAAGCACTGACAATTTAGAAGCCCTCTCCACACCCCTTGAACTCACTCCAAAGACTAGAAGCCTAGATAATAAATCACTAGGAGAAAAGCAGTATTTTGCAGTTTTGGAGTTGATTATAACCAAGTATTTGAACATTTTTAATACAATTTATGTAAATTAGGGCCAAGTTTTAGAGACAGTTATTGACAGAAGTTAGTTACGACAAATTCAATTACTTTCTTTCTGGTACTTTTAACTTACTCTTGTTCTGATATCATCATTACTCAAAAGCCACTGTTTCTTAACTCCATGATTAGGACTTAAATCAACATGTTTCCATGATGTCTTACTGTGTTTTCTTCGTTCATCAATATTACTCACATCTATCTTACAAAATGGAAAGAAAAGAAAATGCCATTAGAAATGGTTCATACATATAAATAGATGCTCAAAAAACTCACCATATTTATTTTATGAATGTTAATATTTTATAGCATAAATTACTAATAGGCTAAAAATTTAACATGAATTTTACACCACCCCACCTCTCACTAATCTTGGGGAAACAGAGGCTATTCATTAGATACGTGTTCTAGCTGACTTTCAAAATATTTCAATCTGTAGAGAACTTTTAAAGAGAAGTACATTTTTCTCACTAATCAATTTGTTAATATGAATATCTCGATTTTTGGTATTAAGCCAGCTTTTTGAAAATGCTTTTAACTAATCTATCAAGACTACACTAGTACCTAAATTTGAAATTTATTATTTATTGCTCAACAGCTTTCATCTATTTGGAAATCAGCCCACAGGAACACTCCTTAAAAGAAGAAGGATAATGAGTAAGTAGAGACTTTTTTGAATTTGTAATTTCTGGCATATCATTTGAAAGATTGATTCTATAAAGGCTCCATGATGCCAAGATATAATATTCAAAGTTAGTGAAGCACAGCTGAGTATCATAACCTGGAATTAGCTCTTAATCTGTGTGTCAAGTTCTTTGTTTTTGTTTTGTTACATAGCAAATATGCATACTGTTAAACTGATACCTGTCCACTAGAGTAATGAGATAACTAGTATACTACTTGTGGCTCAAGGTGAAAAATTTGGTTTAGTATCAAGATGGAACTCAAAAGGAGATCTTATGATGGCAAATACTCATGAATATGCCGAGCAAAAGTTTTATTCAAATGCTAACAGGAAGCTTAGAGTAGACAAAAAGGAGAAAGTGACTAATATAGATGCTTTTATAAATAACATTATAATATTAACATTAGATCTTTGCATTATTTTCATTTTTCACTTTTTTTTTAAACGGAGTCTCGCTCTGTCATCCAGGCAGGAGTGTAGCGGCATGATCTTGGCTCACTGCAACCTCCACCTCCCGGATTCAAGAGAGTCTCCTGCCTCAGCCTCCCAAGTAGCTAGGGCTACAGGCACACACCACTATGCCTGGCTATTTTTTTTTTTTTTTTTTTAGTAGAGTTGGGGTTTCACCATGTTGGTCAGGCTCATCTTGAACTCCTGACTTCAAATGATCTGCCCACCTCAGCCTCCCAAAGTGCTGGGCAATGCATTATTTTCAATAGTCCTCTTTTATTTAGTGTTGTGTTAAACCAATTATCAAAATTTGGTAATTAGAGGTATAACAAAAACATGCAAAAAATTGAAAACCATTATCCTAAAGCTACAAATGAGAAAAAAAATTTCCCACTTGTGTTTATTGACTTCCCTAACCATTAAAATAATCATAAATATATATTTCTAAGTGTAATCTGGGCATTACACAGGAGTAATAATTTAGCATACTAACTATATAAGGCAGTTTGGAGGTTGTATAGTTTTACTTATTTATATGCTACAAAATGAAACAAAATATATTTCAAAAATATGTGTCCTGGTTGTTCTGGTTATTTGTATCTTTACTAAAAACCAAACTTTGAGGCCGGGTGCCGTGGCTCACGCCTGTAATCCAAGCACTTTGGGAGGCTCAAGCGGGCAGATCATGAGATCAAGTTCATCCTGGCTAACACGGTGAAACCTCATCTCTACTAAAAATACAAAAAAATTATCTGGGCGTGGTGGTGGGCGCCTATAGACCAGTCACTCAGGAGGCTGAGGCAGGAGAATGGTGTGAACCAGAAGGTAGAGCTTGTAGTGAGCGGAGATGGCGCCACTGCACTCCAGCCTGGGCGACAGAGTGAGACTCCGTCTCAAAAACAAACAAACAAAAAAACAAACTTTGAAACAATATATATTTGAATTAGTATGTGATATTGCTTATTAGTTGTATCTCTGTAACTTTTCTCCCCATCGCCTAAAATTCACTCCATACCAGTTATAATCAAATTGATTTTAATAAAAAAAATTATTCTCTCATTGAATATATCTTTCTCTATACAAAAGAATATGATGTCACAAGCTGGTGAGTCAGGGAAAAATTGATGATTATAGATTCTTATTAGGATATAAAATTGCAATAACGGGAAAAAATGCAAATCACTTTCTGTCATTTCCTAATATTATAGATTATTTCTTAAGTTTTATAAAATGTAAATGTCTTGAAAAATAAAGTTCAGTCAGCCAGAAAACTTACACATCGCTTTCTAAAGTAGATCCTGAGGCCAAGGTCTTAAGCCTGCTCTCAGGGGCACAGACAGGCGTATATCCCCAGGTCTCTATGAGCAGAACTGCTCTCAAACCACTCCTGACACATGGTTGGTGATGGTTGTGTTAACTAATATCATTGTGGTTATCATTACCACGATGTGGATCCACAATGATATTAGCTAATTAATATATATATATATGTGTGTGTGTGTGTGTTTACATATATGTGTGTCTATATGTGTGTGTGTGTATATATATATGTATATGTTGTGCACCTCTTTTTATTATACTTTAAGTTTTAGGGTATATGTGCACAATGTGCAGGTTTGTTACATATGTATATGTGTGCCATGTTGGTGTGCTGCACCCATTAACTCGTCATTTAACATTACGTATATCTCCTAATGCTATCCCTCCCCCCTCCCACCACCCCAAAACAGGCCCCGGTGTGTGATGTTCCCCTTCCTGTGTCCATGTGTTCTCATTGTTCAATTCCCACCTATGAGTGAGAACATGCAGTGTTTGGTTTTTTGTCCTTGCAATAGTTTGCTGAGAATGATGATTTTCAGCTTCATCCATGTCATTACAAAGGACATGAACTCATCATTTTTTATGGCTGCATAGTAATCCACGGTGTATATGTGCCACATTTTCTTAATCCAGTCTATCATTGTTGGACATTTGGGTTGGTTCCAAGTCTTTGCTATTGTGAATAGTGCTGCAATAAACACACGTGTGCATGTGTCTTTATAGCAGCATGATTTATAAACCTTTGGGTATATACCCAGTAATGGGATGGCTGGGTCAAATGGTATTTCTAGTTCTAGATCCCTGAGGAATCACCATACTGACTTCCACAATGGTTGAACTAGTTTACAGTCCAACCAACAGTGTCAAAGTGTTCCTGTTTCTCCACATCCTCTTCAGCATCTGTTGTTTCCTGACTTTTTAATGACCCCCATTCTAACTGGTGTGAGATGGTATCTCATTGTGGTTTTGATTTGCATTTCTCTGATGGCCAGTGATGGTGAGCATTTTTTCATGTGCCTTTTGGCTGCATAAATGTCTTCTTTTGAGAAGTGTCTGTTCATATCCTTTGCCCACTTTTTGATGAGGTTGTTTTGTTCTTGTAAATTTGTTTGAGTTCATTGTAGATTCTAGATATTAGCCCTTTGTCAGATGAGTAGATTGCAAAAATTTTCTCCCATTCTGTAGGTTGCCTGTTCACTCTGATGGTAGTTTCTTTTGCTGTGCAGAAGCTCTTTAGTTTAATTAGATCCCATTTGTCAATTTTGGCTTTGTTGCCATTGCTTTTGGTGTTTTAGATATGAAGTCCTTGCCCATGCCTATGTCCTGAATGGTAATGCCTAGGTTTTCTTCTAGGGTTTTTATGGTTTTAGGTCTAACATTCAAGTCTTTAATCCATCTTGAAGTAATTTTTGTATGAGGTGTAAGGAAGGGATCCAGTTTCAGCTTTCCACGTATGGCTAGCCAGTTTTCCCAGCACCATTTATTAAATAGGGAATCCTTTCCCCATTTCTTGTTTTTGTCAGGTTTGTCAAAGATCAGATGGTTGTAGATATGTGGCATTTTTTCTGAGGCCTCTGTTCTGTTCCATTGGTCTATATCTCTGTTTTGGTACCAGTACCATGCTGTTTTGGTTACTGTAGCCTTCTAGTATAGTTTGAAGTCAGGTAGTGTGATGCCTCCAGCTTGTTCTTTTGGTTTAGGATTGACTTGGTAATGCGGGCTCTTTTTTATGAACTTTAAAGTAGTTTTTTCCAATTCTATGAAGAAAGTCATTGGTAGCTTGATGGAGATGGCATTGAATCTATAAATTACCTCAGGCAGTATGGCCATTTTCACAATATTGATTCTTCCTACCCATGAGCATGGAATATTCTTCCATTTGTTTGTATCCTCTTTTATTTCATTGAGCAGTGTTTTGTAGTTCTCCTTGAAGAGGTCCTTCACATCCCTTGTAAGTTGGATTCCTAGGTATTTTATTCTCTTTGAAGCAATTGTGAATGGGAGTTCACTCATGATTTGGCTCTCTGTTTGTCTGTTATTGGTGTATAAGAATGCTTGTGATTTTTGTACATTGATTTTGTATCCTGAGACTTTGCTGAAGTTGTTTATCAGCTTAAGGAGATTTTGGGCAGAGATGATGGGGTTTTCTAGATATACAATCATGTCATCTGCAAACAGGGACAATTTGACTTCCTCTTTTCCTAACTGAATACCCTTTATTTCCTTGTCCTACCTGATTGTCCTGGCCAGGACTTCCAATGCTATGTTGAATAGGAGTAGTGAGAGAGGGCATCCCTGTCTTGTGCCAGTTTTCAAAGGGAATGCTTCCAGTTTTCGTCCATTCAGTATGTTATTGGCTGTGGGTTTGTCATAGATAGCTCTTATTATTTTGAGATAAGTCCCATCAACACCTAATTTATTGAGAGTTTTTAGCATGAACAGTTGTTGAATTTTGACAAAGGCCTTTTCTGCCTCTATTGAGATAATCATGTGGTTTTTGTCATTGGTTCTGTTTATATGCTGGATTGCATTTATTGATTTGCATATGTTGAACCAGCCTTGCATCCCAGGGATGAAGCCCACTTGATCATGGTGGATAAGCTTTTTGATGTGCTGCTGGATTCAGTTTGCCAGTATTTTATTGAGGATTTTTGCATCAATGTTCATCAGGGATATTGGTCTAAAATTCCCTTTTTTTGTTATGTCTCTGCCAGACTTTGGTATCAGGATGATGCTGGCCTCATAAAATGAGTTAGGGAGGATTCCCTCTTTTTCTATTGATTGGAATAGTTTCAGAAGCAATGGTACCAGCTCCTCCTTGTACCTCTGGTAGAATTCGGCTGTGAATCCATCTGGTCCTGGACTTTTTTTGGTTGGTAAGCTATTAATTATTGCCTCAATTTCAGAGCCGTTATTGGTCTATTCAGAGATTCAACTTCCTCCTGATTTAGTCTTGGGAGGGTGTATGTGTCGAGGAATTTATCCATTTCTTCTAGATTTTCAAGTTTATTTGCGTAGAGGTGTTTATAGTATTCTCTGATGGTAGTTTGTATTTCTGTGGGATTGGTGGTGATATCCCCTTTCTCATTTTTTATTGCGTCTGTTTGATTCTTCTCTCTTTTCTTCTTTATTAGTCTTGCTAGCAGTCTATCAATTTTGTTGATCTTTCAAAAAACCAGCTCCTGGATTCACTGATTTTTTGAAGGGTTTTTGTGTCTCTATTTCCTTCAGTCCTGCTCTGATCTTAGTTATTTCTTGCCTTCTGCTAGCTTTTGAATGTGTTCACTCTTACTTCTCTAGTTCTTTTAATTGTGATATTAGGGTGTCAATTTTAGATCTTTCCTGCTTTCTCTTGTGGGCATTTAGTGCTATAAATTTCCCTCTACACACGGCTTTGAATGCGTCCCAGAGATTCTGGTATGTTGTGTCTTTGTTCTCATTGGTTTCAAAGAACATCTTTATTTCTGCCTTCATTTTGTTATGTACCCAGTAGTCATTCAGGAGCAGGTTGTTCAGTTTCCATATAGTTGAGTGGTTTTGAGTGAGTTTCTTAATCCTGAGTTCCAGTTTGATTGCACTGTGGTCTGAGAGACAGTTTGGTATAATTTCTGTTCTTTTACATTTGCTGAGGAGTGCTTTACTTCCAACTATGTGGTCAATTTTGGAATAGGTGTGGTGTGGTGCTGAAAAGAATGTATATTCTGTTGATTTGGGGCGGAGGGTTCTGTAGATGTCTATTAGGTCTACTTGGTGCAGAGCTGAGTTCAATTCCTGGATATCCTTGTTGACTTTCTGTCTCGTTGATCTGTCTAATGTTGACAGTGGGGTGTTAAAGTCTCCCATTATTATTGTGTAGGAGTCTAAGTCTCTTTGTAGGTCTCCAAGGACTTGCTTTGTGAATCTGGGTGCTCCTGTATTGGGTGCATATATATTTAGGATAGTTAGCTCTTCTTGTTGAAATGATCCCTTTACCATTATGTAATGGCCTTCTTTGTCTCTTTTGATCTTTGTTGGTTTAAAGTCTGTTTTATCAGAGACTAGGATTGTAACCCCTGCCTTTTTTTGTTTTCCATTTGCTTGGTAGATCTTCCTCCATCCCTTTATTCTGAGCCTATGTGTGTCTCTGCATGTGAGATGGGTTTCCTGAATACAGCACACTGATGGGTCTTGATTATTTATCCAATTTGCCAGTCTGTGTCTTTTAATTGGAGAACTTAGCCCATTTACATTTAAGGTTAATATGGTTATATGTGAATTTGATCCTGTCATTATGATGTTAGCTGGTTATTTTGCATGTTAGTTGATGCAGTTCCTTCCTATCCTTGAAGGTCTTTACAATTTGGCATGTTTTTGCAGTGGCTGGTACTGGTTGTTCCTTTCCATGTTTAGTGCTTCCTTCAGGAGCTCTTTTAGGGTAGGCCTGGTGGTGACAAAATCTCTCAGCATTTGCTTGTCTGTAAAAGATTTTATTTCTCTTTTACTTATGAAGCTTAGTTTGGCTGGATATGAAATTCTGGGTTGAAAAGGCTTTTCTTTGAGAATGTTGAATATTGGCCCCCACTCTCTTCTGGCTTGTAGAGTTTCTGCCGAGAGATCAGCTGTTAATCTGATGGGCTTCCCTTTGTGGGTAACCCGACCTTTCTCTCTGGCTGCCCTTAACATTTTTTCCTTCATTTCAACTTTGGTGAATCTGACAATTATGTGTCTTGGAGTTGCTCTTCTCGAGGAGTATCTTTGTGGTGTTCTCTGTATTTCCTGAATTTGAATGTTGGCCTGCCTTGCTAGATTGGGGAAGTTCTCCTGGATAACATCCTGCAGAGTGTTTTCCAACTTGGTTCCATTCTCCCTGTCACTTTCAGGTACACCAATCAGAGGTAGATTTGGTCTTTTCACATAGTCCCATATTTCTTGGAGGTTTTGTTTCTTTTTATTCTTTTGTCTCTAAACTTCTCGCTTCAGTTCATTCATTTGATCTTCCATCATTGATATCCTTTCTTCCAGTTGATTGAATCGGCTACTGAGGCTTGTGCATTCATCATGTAGTTCTCGTGCCATGGTTTTCAGCTCCATCAGGTCCTTTAAGGACTTCTCTGCGTTGGTTATCCTAGTTAGCCATTTGTCTAATCTTTTTTCAAGGTTTTTAACTTGTTTGCCATGGGTTTGAACTTCCTCCTTTAGCTCGGAGTAGTTTGATTGTCTGAAGCCTTCTTCTCTCAACTCGTCAAAGTCATTCTCTGTCCAGCTTTGTTTCATTGCTGGTGAGGAGCTGCATTCCTTTGGAGCAGGAGAGGCACTCTGATTTTTAGAATTGACAGTTTTTCTGCTCTGTTTTTTTCCCCATCTTTGTGGTTTTATCTACCTTTGGTCTTTGATGATGGTGATGTACAGATGGGGTTTTGGTGTGGATGTCCTTTCTGTTTGTTAGTTTTCCTTCTAACAGTCAGGACCCTCAGCTGCAGGTCTGTTGGAGTTTGCTGGAGGTCCACTCCAGACCCTGTTTGCCTGGGTATCAGCAGCGGAGGCTGCAGAACAGCAGATATTGGTGAACGGCAAATGTTGCTGCCTGATCATTCCTCTGGAAGTTTTGTCTCAGAGGAGTACCCGGCTGTGTGAGGTGTCATTCTGCCCCTACTGGGGGGTGCCTCCCAGTTAGGCTACTCAGGGGTCAGGGACCCACTTGAGGAGGCAGTCTGTCAGTTCTCAGATCTCAAGCTGTATGCTGGTAGAACCACTACTCTCTTCAAAGCTGTCAGACAGAGACATTTAAGTCTGCAGAGGTTTCTGCTGCCTTTTGTTTGGCTATGCCCTGCCCCCAGAGGTGGAGTCTGCAGAGGCAGGCAGGCCTCCTTGAGCTTTGGTGGGCTCCACCCAGTTTGAGCTTCCCAGCCACTTTGTTTACCTACTCAAGCCTTGGCAATGGCGGGTGCCCTGCCCTCAACCTGGCTGCTGCCTTGCAGTTTGATCTCAGACTGCTGTGCTAGCAATGAGCGAGGCTCCTTGGGCGTAGGACCCTCTGAGCCAGGCATGGGATTTAATCTCCTGGTGTGCCGTTTGCTAAGAGCTTTGGAAAAGCGCAGTATTAGGGTGGGAGTGACCCGATTTTGCCATCTGTTACCCCTTTCCTTGGCTAGGAAAGGGAATTCCATGACCCCTTGCGCTTCCCAGGTGAGGCATTGCCTCGCCCTGCTTCAGCTCATGCTCGGTGCACGCACCCACTGTCCTGCACCCACTGTCCGACAATCCCCAGTGAGATGAACCTGTTACCTCAGTTGGAAATGGAGAAATTAGTCATCTTCTGCGTTGCTCACGCTGGGAGCTGTAGCCTGGAGCTGTTCCTATTCGGCCATCTTGGCTCCACCCCCTATGTTGTGCACCTTGAACAAAGTCCATCTTTGTCAATTAAATACTTAAAAATTTGAAAATAGAGAAAAAGAGCCCTGTCTCCATATTTGGTCTACATATTTCCTTATTACAAATAGTGCAACATATATCCACAAGAGATTTGGTACTCTATGAATTCTGTTGATGATAATTTTTATTATAACAGGAATTATCATGGTTATTGATACCATTTTATATGCATATTTCCTCTTAGAAATTCAAAACTGATTAAAAATTTTGGAATGGTTTAAAGTTGCTTGATTGCTTGCTAACCACTGAAAATCACAAATTATTATTTTTTAAATTGTGTTTATTTATTTATTTATTTGAGATAGAGTCTCACTCTGTAGCCCAGGCTGGAGTGCAGTGGTATAATCACAACTCACTGCAACTTCCACTTCCCTAGTTCAAGTGATTCTCATGCCTTAGTCTCCCAAGTAGCTGGGATTACAAATGTGCGCCACTACGCTTGGCTAATTTTTTTTATTTTCAATAGAGATGGGGTTTCACCATGTTGGCCAAGCTGGTTTCAAACTCCTGACCTCAGGTGATCCACCTGCCTCAGCCTCCCAAAATTCTAGGATTACAGGCATAAGCTGCCATGCCCAGCCCACAAATTATTTTGAACAGAACATACACAGAAAGCAGTGCAAAATTCTAAGTTTGGACTTAGGTAGAGTATATCTTTTAGTACTATTTTTTCTAATACAAATATCTTAAGATATATGTCATCAATGCATTAGGATGGATTTTACCTTTTTTAAAATTCAAACTTATTTTCTATTTTGTTGTCTATTAATGGAATTTTTGTGGTAAGAAACTGTATCTTAGAAGTGACATAATAATTAATATTTGCATATAGCTCTAAGTGTTTCAGAAGACATTTATATTTGTCTGTTGATAGTTTCATAAATCTTAAAAATCTGGGTTTAATTTTATCTAATTATTTAGAGGAGAAAACTGAAATAATAGAAAAGTAAAGTAAAACAGAGGAAGACTGGTAAAATTAGGGGTTGTGGCCTGCCCGGGAGTGCACTGCTCAGATCTTCCTTCTGTGAGGAGACTTGCTGTGAGGACTGTAGTGAGCCGACAGCCTCCACCTCCTCTGCCTTCTGGATTTGCTGCAGTGCTCATGCCAAGGCCATGCTGTCCTTCCCTGGATGGCTTTCAGCTACTGACTGAGCATGGTGGGCTTCCTAGAGCTAAGCCTTCCCTGCCCATCTTGAGACTCTTGTGATAGGTCATCTAGATCCTGGGACTGCCTATTGTTCTGGCTGAGACATTCTCAGAGCTGCGCTGCAGTCTGAGGCACTTCTTATTCAATGTTCCTGCCTTCTCTGCTTTAACAAATGTCAGACCATTATTGCAGTGTGGGGCTCTCTCTATCTAGTTCTGTTCTAACCTACACAGGAATATTCCCGAATAAATGTCTTGCAGTCTTGTGCTGGTGTCTGCTACATGCAGGACCTGAGATGATGCAGTGGCTTAATTACATTCATAGATATTAGAGATAGGTTTCCACTGGTGGAATTAGAGGCAATTGAGAAATGTTGTCTGGCTAAAATATTAAATGCTTTTCCTATTGTATAAATAGAGTATAAGAGTTTTTGCTGCAAAGAAAGATAAAGAAGCTTGTTGCAGACCAACCAAATTACAGGGAACAGCTAGAAAAGATAGGCAAAATTTGAATTAAAAATTTGAAGATTTTAATCATCAAGGACTTTTAGGCAAGCAGCAGAGATAAAACAAGAACAAAGAGTTAAACCCAATATTCTGACTATTTTCCATTAGAGGCATTTCAGTTTTTTAACCAGAGGGACAATAAACTAAAGGTTTGGTTCACTACAAAATTTCATCAGTACAATAGTCTTCTGTAGATGTACAAAAATGGGTACTCTCATAATGTTCTGTGGCATATATTTGGGAAAAATTACTTGAATTTATTTTTCCTTTCCAATTTGTATTTTAAGTCCAGGAGGTACACATGCAGGTTTGTTACATGGGTAAATTGCATGTTGTAGGGATTTGATGTACAGATAATTTTGTGTTCTCTGAAACATTATTTTGTGTTCTCTGGTTCTGTACACCAGAAATTTTACTTAGTGATATGTAATAAAAACAAATATTTCAAATGGTTGCTTCTAAATTTATATATTTGAATATATAGCTTTAATAATGCAAATTTAGCTATAATATTATCAACTAATTATGGAATGGGACTTAATTATACTAAACACTTCTGTTGTTATTCAATTTGGAAACAGAATCTTCTGGAATCTTCTGAAAATCTGATTCTAGTTTGGATAAAAATGTCGTACCTTGCCACATAGGTATATTATGTGGATAGGTTTTATTCATTCTTTACTAAAGCAATGGGTGAAAAATCTCTAGAATGCCTATACATTATTTTCCTACTAAAACAATTGTATTATAATATTATTTGATAATGGATGGTTGCTTAAGAATGCACCAATCCAATTGCAGTGGAACAGAAGGTATGTGGTGTTTTCCAGTTTTAAAATGTCATAAAATATTCATTATGTATTTCTTGCAATTATCCAGTCAGTATTAATATTTCCATTACACAAATGATGCATAAAGAATTCAAATAACTTGAATAAATTGAAAAGTCTGAATCATTAAACAAAAAGGAGTGATTGTGTTATTTATTTGGTCTATGATGTACCATTCTCAGATTTACTGTTTATTGAAAATAGTAGTGGTGTTGGGCTGGGGCAAAACTTTTCCTAATATAAAAAGTATTTATGACATTATTAATTAATTGTCTAAAAGTCATCTGGATACATGCTCCATTTCATTCTGAAACTATTTTTTAATGTTTGCAGGATTTTCAGAAATCATAGCTTAGTTCTAGCTACATATCATGTCTCATCAGCTGGCTGTCATTTCCTAGCCTGTTGGCATTGATATTTTGGATTGGTTTGTACTTCAAATCACTTAGGCACTTAATAGCTTATAAATGTTTACACTGAGACCAAAATGTAGATGAAGACAATTTTTGAAGGAAAACATCAGTTTGTATGCTAGCCCTGGACAATACCCAGTAACACTGGCTTCATTTTTCATTATTAGTTTCACTCTCTGTCTAGTAAAATCACGATCTCATTCAGCTTCACTTTTTATAACAGTCTAGTGACTTGAAAAAAAAAAACTTTGATATCATACATCTTTGTGGGAGAAATCAAAATTAATTAAGGCATAAAATTTCTTATAGATTGCTACAATTTAGTCACTTCCTGCTGTATCTATGCCCTCACAGAGTTCCCCTCCATACTGATTCTGAGCATAGAATCCATGTCTCTTGCTTTGGTAATTGGAAAGTAGTAAATGTGAAAAAAGCAGAGGCTTAAAAAGTGCTTATGCATTGAGATTCGTCCCTTCTTGATGCCACTGAAATATTCTTCCCCAGGGTAGCTGTCACCTGATGAAAGACAATGATCATATCACTCCCATCACTCCAAATAATATGTACCTCCAATTGCCAGACGTAAGACGTAAGAATGAGGCCATCCTAGATAAACCAGCTGCAGATTACGTGGCAGCTGACTGCAGATGCATAGGTACACTCCGTTGAGATCAGCAGAGCATGGCTTACATCAGCAGAACTGTGTATCAACACAGAGAAACATGGAAAATAGTAAATGATGTTTGTTTTAAGAAACTGGATTTTAAAGTGTTTTATTAATGCAGCTAAAGATAACTGATGAATTCAGTTTGTGTGGTCAGCCATAAAAATGTTTCACTCATTGGGTCTATTTTCAAAGGTCCAAAGCAAATATTTACTAGCAAATATTTTGAATAGTGGAGTCCAGGGAACATTTTTTTGGTAAGAAAATATAATGGAACTCCATTTATAGTTTTTTGCTCAGAATTATGGAAGTGGGGAGGAAATTTTGAAATGATATATTCAATGGTCAATGTAATAAAATAAATGCATACACTAATGATGCTTCATATTCAAATCAAAAGTGTTTATATGCACTTCTGCATTCCTTCACCCAATAAAATGTCTTAATTTTGCTGAAATTTGTAAGTAATTTAAAAATCTTTCTTCTACTTCTATGACAATTTCATTTCATAATGAACACTTCTGAAAATAGAATTTGATAGAGGAAGAAATAATTTCATTTTTATTAGTCAGATAACATGTAATTGTTAGTACATTTCCCATCCATCAGAGTTTTCACTACTTCTTCCTGAGTCTGAGAGAAGGGGAATTATCTATTCACAGAAAAATTTGAATGTGGTTTATTGACAGGAATTCACTTCACTTTTAAAATTACTTATGTGATAAATTTGTCATTTTTTTTCTAAAGGCAAAGAAAGAAATAAGAACATATTTAGTGATGAGCACACAATTAAATGTGGCAATCTGATTGAATATTTGTAGGCTTAAATTGTATTTTACAAAAAAGGGGTTATAGAAGATATCAAATAGCTTATGAATATATGCCTTTATTGGTAGACAGTAACAATATTCTTATTTATTAATTGCTAAATTTTACTAACTTTAAAAAAAAGAGTACTGGTAGAACTGAAAAAGTCTAACACAGTGAGGTAGGTAGTGGATATAAGCTATAATATAAGTAGGTTCCTTGTACAAGTACACATCCTGAGAATATGTTTCAAGTATATAACATAAAATTATCAAGCCATTTTTTCTAAGGACTGAAATAATTAAAGGTTTTCACTAAAACTTTTATAATGTTTTCATTTTCAAATGTTTGTCACTTTCTAGCCAAGCAGGCAATAAATTTAGGAACTAATGCCCAAATTGAAAAAAAAAAAAGTGATAAACTGATAATCTGTGAATTACTTAAAAGGTGAAACTAAAATATTGGAGTAATTTGACCACCAGCAAATTATCATCTCTATTATTCTCCATTTTCCAAATTTTGTGAAACTCATTTACATACTTATTCAACAGAAAAATTCTATAGACAAAATTGCACATTTTCCAGGCTATTCTTTTATATATATTTGAGATTCAATTATCAAAACACAATCACCCTATATAGTCACTAAAATGGCTATAGGGGAAAGATATATTAATGAATTTAGAAACCAGGTCTTTCAAAATCATACATAATCTACAAAATAATTATGCTTGCCTTTGTGTAGCAAATAATTTATTTTCAACATATAAATTTTCCACTGATAATATAAATACATATAACCAAACTATATTATGTATATGGGAAAAAATTATTATTTAGAAACTTCTTATAACCCAAGTTATCAACTATTTTACCTGTCTTAAAAATTCATGTGGCTCATTTTCTGATTTGTCCTCTCACCACATATTTTCTATTTATTATACCATCTAGCATAATAATGCAATAATTTCAGTTAAAGTTTATGTCCTCTCTTTGACTGTGACCTTCTTGAGGGTCAGACCTGTTTCTTGTTTATTGTTTTATTCCTAATATCTGACACAGAAACTTAAAATCAATTGATGTTTTAAAAATGGTTCTCAGAGAATAAGCATTTTCCTGTCAGTTTTTAAGAATTAAAAAAAAAAAATGCTCCATTTCCACCTTAAATCCGTAACTCATTTCCCAGAGGCCAAAGGTTCCCATTTCCACATGAGATAATTCATTTAGATTAAATTTCCCTGTTTAAGGTAGAAGGTGGCAATCTAGCTGAAAGGATCAGATAGAGGTTAAAAAATGAAGTAAATGGAAATTAAAAAATGGAAAGGTAGTCCAAATTATAAAATTGAGCTATAGCACCAGGATATTGTCTTATAGAAACAGAAAACTTTTTTTTTAATATTTTGGGTTTTATGGACCTATTGATTGCATGGCATACATAGTAAGATAAGCAGGTTTTCTTGTCATTTTTACTGTAACATTGTTAACTAAAACAAAAAATAGTTCATAGAAGAAATTAATATTTTTAGATAAATGATACAATGCAAGTAAAATGGAGTCATGACTTAAATAACTGCAGTATTACTACATCTATTCTAAAATATTTTCAACACGTAGTTCTCAAAATGTTGATATTATCCATGTAAATTATCATGAATAATTAGTGAATATTCATGAAACATTCATTGACATAAGTTTATAAGTATTGATTAAAATTCACCAATTAGTGTGCTTATGGACAATTTAACAAATGTGAAAACATAAAAGGCCATATTTTATGTACATATGTGTTGATGTGCTCTATTTGAAAAAATTTGTATGAGCTTTAATGCTTTATCTATCCAAAATAAATTCATTCCTACTACGTTATGCCCATAAATCTTAGTGAATAATTTGGATGGAATTTATTTATGCCAAATAATATGCAACTTAATGAAAGAAAATGACATTTAGGTCATTTGCATTCTGTAGAATTACTCAGTTAACTAAGGCCATGTATTGAAAGAGGTCTTGACGGCATTGGATATCTGTTTACTAAAAAGTAAAAAGAACCAAGAAACATTTTGTAACCTAGGTTTATTTTGCTTTTTAGACTTTGCTTTATTTGTGTATTTAATGATTGCCCTTACCCGCTGATTACTTCCCCAATTGTATGCATTACTCTTCCAATCATTTTCTGATTTCTTGTCATATGCTCCAAAGAGCATTTAGAACCTTGCTATATTTCTTACTCTAGTTTCACACACTAGAATAAATAAAAACCACATAAGAAATCACCCCTTTTATCTTTGTTCCTAGTTTACATTTGATAACATATATTTAATATCCTTTTGGAAATTTATAAGCAGGTTCATCTAATTTATTATTAAATAAAACAGGTAAGCAAATTTAGTCCAATTCAATGAATAATTACGGAGGATCTACACTGGGTAAACTGTATCAGATTTTGAGCGTACAAAATGTCTCTGATTTTTTAGAGCTCCTTTGATAATGGGGAAAAGAGATGGTATTTCTTGGGAAATATGAAGTTGAAAACTTAAATTTTAGATGATGTGTCGTGTCTCAATAAATTTTAGGACAGTGCTTCTTCCTTTAGAATAGATTGAGCAAAAATATTTCTTACTGACCCGTCTTTTTACATGAGTAAAGAAGGAGAGAAACACTGTACTATGATGTTGACTCCAGTCAAAATGTCCTGAACCATCAGTGCTGGGCTGCTTAGGTTAGAGACAAAAGCCACTATCTTTTATGAATTTTGACATGTGCACTATAATGGACACATTCTATACTCATGTCCTTTCAGCAGGAAACAATTGTTTTTCTGACAAAATATTTCAAAAAGATTCATTGTTTACTTTCCAGAGAAGACTGAAGCTTGACCTTGGGCTATCAGTTCCCAGACAGTTCTGCTACAAGGCTCACAAAATAAATGTCTCTGCAATAACCAAGTTCCAAAATCTAATGGATATCTCCTGCTTTTCAAGTTTCCTTTTAAAAATGAATTCAACAACATTGAAAGCATAAGGAAGCAAAACCAAGTGCTTATTTTGTAAAGTATCTTTGCTCATTATAAAAACCCAAACAGAAAATTCACATCTCATTATAAAGGGACAAGTAGAACGATGTAACAAGACCAGTAGCATTAATGAAATTGCATGGCATGGACATATTTTTTCTTCTACTCAAACTTACAGTTAGGAATTAATTCACCAATTACTTAACCTAGTTCAGAGAATCCATGCATATAATTTTGTGGAAATTCAATGTAGAACAATTTATAGAATAAAATCTCTTGTTTAAATTTTTCAACTGGATGTTCAATTATATTTGTAAATGTTCTTTGCATCAGAAATCAATACTTTAATTTTATATTGATTTTACTTTACAAAATCAACCATGTATTCTTACTTTAAAAAAAATGATGAGTGATATCAAGAGAAAACACAAAAATGGTCAATATTCTTAGTTATTATTCTAACATCTATTTAGGCTTCCATATATTTGTTTGTTAATTCAATACTGAGATTATTGAAAATTTATTTTTTAAAAAACAAAAGTGGGCTGGGTGCAGTGGCTCACACCTGTAATCCCAGCACTTTGGGAGGCTGAGGCGGAAAAATCGCTTGATCCCAGGAGTTTGAGACCAACCTGGGCAACATAGGAAGACCCCCAACTCTACAAAATTAAGAAAAAAATGACCACATGCCTGTGGTTACAGCTACTTGAGGAGCTGAGGCGAGAGTATCCTTTGAGCTCAGGAGGTTGAGGCGGCAATGAGAGGTGATGGCGTCATTGACCTCCAGCCTGGGTGACACAGAGAGACCCTGTATCAAAAAATAGAATAGAATAAATTAAAATAAAAATAAATTAAAAGGAGATTTATAAACTCTGTCATTTGCCAAATGTATATCTAGGATGAAGTTTAAAAAGTTTTCCATAGAAAAATTCATAGCATAGGAGAAAGTTAAGGATATGAGTAACAATCCCAGCCTATGAGAAGAAGAAAGCCTTTGAAGTACTGTGTACTTGATCTGAGGGAGATAGCTCAAGAAGAGAGAAAATAGAATAAAGGCAGGAGATGAGATTAGGATAGTCTGGATTCCTCATAGTTGGGACAAACTTCAGGAAACAGGAGTTGTAGAGTTATCCTGTTGTATATGAGGAATCCTGCTTTCTAGGGCATAAGAAAAGAAGTTGTGTATGCATAGTGCCCTGTCCAACATAGTGTTTGGGAAGTGTATTTGCAACGTATGTTGGAGGAGGCAGAGAGGCTTACCTTATAGGAATAATTGGTCTGGAAGAGACCTGGACAAGTGGAAAGACATGCTAAAAATTCTAGAGGATAAGTCAGAGCTCTTGAACATTAGCAACAGGTGCAATTATGATCCTAAAAGGACAACTAAATCCATGGATATCACACACAATGATCAGGCCAGTGGAGCCATACCAGTTACACTCCAGCAAAGAGGAACAGGGACTTGAGGACAGATCACAGATCTATAAACATTTTCTTGGGCTTCCCATACCTCTTTCTCATCCCTCACCACCCCACAAACCGGGATGAGAAACTTTTTATCCTAGACACAGTCATAAAGGAGGGAGGAGAAGTCAAACTTTAAGGCAGAGAAGAAAAGCCCTGATATCTAGGGCCTTTCCTTAATTAGTATTTACATGATTTTATATTTTTGTAATTTTTATTTATTTATTTATATTTCAATAGTTTTGGGTGTACAGGTGGTTTTTGGTTACATAGATAAGTTCTTTAGTGGTGATTTCTGAGATTTTTGGTGCACCTGTCACATGAGCAGTGTACACTGTGCCCAATATGTAATCTTTTATCCTTCATCACCCTCCCACTCTTCCCCAGCAAGTCCCCAAAGTCCATTGTACAATTATTATGCCGTTGGAAGCAATTAAAATTAACTTACAAGTTTAACTTACCTGTTTTCCTCCCTGCTTTGCTCCATGCAAATACAAATCCAAAGCCAGGACAAAGTGAGGACTCCAGAAGTGAACTACCTAAGTTACTGAATGTAAAGTTATTCACTTTCTACACATCTAAATTTAGTGTGCAAATTTCAAACCTGTGACAAGTTTTAAAGTAAAATAAATGAATGCTCACTATTTAAAAATATAAACAATTTATTATTATTGTTTTAGGAAAGAAAAGTTATAGTTAACACACAAACACTGGATATCTTCTTTTTGCCCCTGCAGATCAGCTGTCTGTTCTTCTCCTCCCTGCTATGTGTCCAATATGCTGATGGTCATAAATGCACTTTTATTCTTCTGGCTTTCACTGGCTTCAGAAAATGTGGAGTACCAGCAGGACCCAGGAATCCTGCAGTTCTGGGATCTGTCCCTATAGGGTAGTTGTGGGCTTGCTGTGTCTCTCAGGTGACAGTGACAGCTCTGTCCAGGTCCCTCCATGCAGTGCTGACTTCTTCCCAGAAACAGCCAATGCTACCAATGTCTTATGTGTCCTTCTAAAGTATTTTAAGTTTGCATAAATATCTGTGTATATGGGGATTTTTATAATAACAGTTCTATATTTTTTCAAAATTACATTTAATAGAATATACTTTAAAATTTATTTACCTTGTATTCTATTTCTGAATAGAATACAAAACTCTGTTTTGTATATCATACTTATTTACTTATTTACTTAGTTAATATATCTTATAAATTATTCCCTGTTAGTTCATGTAGAGTTGCCTCAGTATTTTATGCTGGCTGCAATTTAACATAATATGTAACATGGTTAGGCTGTGTCCTCACCTAAATCTCATCTTGAATTGTAGCTCCCATAATTCCCATGTGTTGTGAGATGGACCTGGGGAGAGATAATTGCATCGTGGGGGTGATTTCCCCCATACTATTCTAGTGGTAGTGAATAAGTCTCACAAGATCTGGTGGTTTTATAAGGGGAAACACCTTTCACTTGGCTCTCATTCTCTCTCTTGCCTGCTGCCATGTAAGATGTGCTTTTCACCTTCCACCATTACAGTGAGGCCTCCCAGCCATGTGGAACTGTGAGTCCATTTAACCTCTTTTTCTTTATAAATTACCCACTCTCAGTTATGTCTTTATTAGCAGCGTGAGAGCAAACCAGTACTGTATGAATGTTCTATAATTCTTTGAAATATTTTTCAACACAAATTTTTTCAATGGACTTGATATGGTTTGGCTGTGTCCCCACCCAAATCTCATACTGAATTGTAGCTCCCATAATCACCACATATCATTGGAGGGACATGGTGAGAGATAATTGAATCATGGGGGCCAGTTTTTCCCATGCTGTTCTCATGACAGTGAAGAAGTCTCACAAGATCTGAAATTTGCACAAGTAACAGGGAGCCAAATGTTAATTGCTAAGACAATGGGGAAAATGTCTCCAGGACATGTTAGAGGTCTTCATGGCAGCCTCTCTCATCACAAGCCAGGAAGCCTAAGAGGAAAAAATAGTTTTATAAAGGGCTGTTCTCCTGCAAATGCTCTCTTGCCTGCCTCCATGTAAGATGTGCCTTTGCTCCTCCTTCACCTTTCACCATGATTGTGAGGCCTCCCTAGCCATGTGAACCTGTGAGCAAACTCTCTTGCTTTATAAATTACCCAGTCACAGGTATTTACTCATAGCAGTACGAAAACTGACTAATGCAGTAAATTGGTACTGGTAGAATGGGGTACTGCTATTAAGATAATAAACATGTGCAAGCAACTTTAGAACTGGGTAACAGGCAGAGGTTGGAACACTTTGGAGGGCTCAGAAGAAGACAGGAAGATGTGGGAAAGTTTGGAGCTTTCTAGAGACTTGTTGAATGGTTTTGACCAAAAAGTCCAGACTGAGGCTGTCTCAGATGGAGATGAAGAACTTACTGGGAATTGGAACAAAGGTGATACCTGCTATGCTTTAGCAAAGAGACTGGCAGCATTTTGTTCCTGCCCTAGAAATCCATGGAACTTTGAACTTGAGACAGATGGTTTATGGTATCTGGCAGAAGAAATTTCTAAGCAGCAAAAGATTCAAGATGTGACTTGGGTGCTCTTAAAAACATTGTTTTATTCATTCACAGAGATATGGTTTGGATTTGGAACTAACGTTTAAACAGAAGGCAGGGCATAAAAGTTAGGAAAATTGGCAGCTTTACAATGCAACAGAAAAGAAAAACCCATTTTCTGAGGAGAAGTTCAAGCTAGCTGCAGAAATTTGCATAAGTAATGACATGCCAAATGTTAATTGCCAAGACAATAAGGACAATGTCTCCAGGGCATGACAGAGGTCTTCACAGCAGCCCGTCCCATCACAAACCAGGAAACCTAGGAGGAAAAAATTGATTTTGTGGGCCAGGCCCAGGACCTTGCTGCATTGTGCAGTCATAGGACTAGGTGCCCTGCGTCACAACCATGGCTAAAAGGGGTCAACCTACAGCTCAGGCTGTTGCTTCAGAGGGTGGTAGCCCCAAGCCTTGATGGCTTTCATGTGGTGTTGGGCCTTTGGATACACAGAAGTCAAGAATTAGAGGCAGAGCTTGCAGTGAGCCAAGATTGCACCACTGCACCTGGGCGACAGAGCGAGACTCCATCTCAAAAAAAAAAAAAAAAAAAAAAAAAGAATTAAGGTTAAGGAACCTCTGTCTAGATTTGAGAGGATGTATGGAAACACTTGGCTGTCCAGATAGCGGTGTGCTGCAGGGGGCGGAGCCCTCATGGAGAACTTCTGCTAGGGCAGTGCAGCAGGGAAATGTGAAGTGGGAGACCCCACACTCAGTTTCCACAGGGGCACTGCCTAGTGGAGCCATGAGAAGAGGGCCATGGTCCTCCAGACTCTAGAATGGTAGAACCACCAGCAGCTTGCACAGTACACCTGGAAAAGCTGCAGGCACTCAATGCCAGCCTATAAAAGCAGCCAGGAGGGGGGATGTACCTTGCAAAGCCACAGGGGTGGAGCTGACGAAGACCATGGGAGCCCCCCTCTTCCATCAGTGTGTCCTGGATGTGAGACATGGAGTCAAAGAAGATCATTTTGGAGCTTTAAGATTTTACTGCCCAGCTAGATTTTAGACTTGCATAGGCCTGTAGCTCCTTCATTTTGGCCAATTTTTACCATTTGGAACAGGTGTATTTACCTGACGCCTGTAACCCCATTGTGTATAGGAAGTAACTAACTTGCTTTTGATTTTACAGGTTCATAGGCAGAAGAGACTTACCTTGTCTCTGAAGAGAGTTTGGACTATGGACTTTTGAGCTAATGCTGAAAAGAGTTAATACTCTGAGGAACTGTTGGGAAGGTATGATTGGTTTTGAAATGTGAAAACATGAGATTTGAGAGGGGCCAGGTGTGGAACAATGTGGTTTGCCTGTGTCCCCACCCAAATCTCATTCTGAATTGTAACTCCCATAATCCCCAAGTGTCATGGGAGGGACCCAGTGAAAGGTGATTGAATCATGGGGGCGTTTTTCCCATGCTGTTCTCGTGATAGTGAATAAGTCTCATGAAATCTGATGGTTTTATAATGGGCAGTTTCCCTGCACATGCTCTCTTGCCTGCCGCCATATAAGATGTGCCTTTGCTCTTCCTTCACCTTCCAGCATGATTGTGAGGCCTCCCGAGCCATGTGGAACTGTGAGGCCTCCCGAGCCGTGTGGAACTGTGAGGCCTCCCGAGCCGTGTGGAACTGTGAGGCCTCCCGAGCCATGTGGAACTGTGAGTCCATTAAATCTTTTTTTCTTTATAAATCACCCAGTCTCAGGTATTTGTTCATAGCAGTGTGAAAATGGACTGATACAGGACTTTTAGTTTTTTCTAACATTTTTCTGTTATAATAATCTTATTAATATTTTTGCCTTATATTATTCCTCATGTCTAACCATGTACAGGGAATATTATTATTAATTGAATTTTTGATAAGTAGGATCAAATTTCCTTCATAGAGATTGTAACACTTTATGCTCTACCCAACAATATATGAGACCATGTTTCTTAACTCCCTTCTCTTCTACAAAGTTACTACATTCTTGATTTTCCTAACTTATAAAATTGTTTTTTTCTAAATAAGGTCGATGACTTTTCACACTTTTAACAACAATTTGTATTTGTTTCTCTATGTTCTTTCTATGTATATCCATGCCCAATTCTTGAAATGTGTTGGTCTTTTAATCATTTGAAAGTGCTCTTTATATAACGTGGAGATTAATGTTTTACTGTAAAAATAGGTAGCATATTTTAAAACTCAGCTTGTCATTTATATTTGGACTTCTCCATTATTTTACCATTCAGAATGATTTTTAAATATGCTATTGAATTTATTATTTTCTTTTAGACTACAGAGTTTTGTGTCATCATTATCAAAAGCACTGGTGAAGAGTCAGCCTTGAAAAGACCTAGGAAATGTATCACTGTTTGTATAATGGGTTTAATTGTGTGTCCTTACAAATAGAATTTTCAATGTATGTCATAAGAAAAGTCTGTGACACATTAATCTACAGCAGGTTTATAGATGGCAAATGATAAAATAAGAATTCTTATTCCATAGTAGAGATGGAGTAAAATTCTTCATTTCCAGCAAAGTACAAGAAGTTGCCAATACAGTGCTCCAAAAACCACATTTAGAGTAACAAGGCTGAAGAGTATGTCCTTAGGAGTACAAATGCTAGGACCTGAGGTAGCCACAACTTTATTTCATTAGAAAAAGACAAATAGAATTCCAAATAAATGTACCAATTCACATTACCAAGAAATGCAGAAATGTTCAAATTACTTACCTATTGTTAACTGCTTTGTTGTTTCATGTTGTAAGTGTGTGAAATGGCATAATTTGATGTTTTAATATGTATTTATCATGATTATTAATGAGTGTGAATAAATACATTTGTTTTCTCTTTTTCTCAGTCTTTCAAGTTTTCCTTTTTTAAATAAATTTAACTTTTATTTTAGATCCAGTGGTACACGTGCAGGTTTGTTACATGCATATATTGTGTGATGCTGAAGTTTGAGGTATGAGAGATCCCATCACTGAGGTGGTGAGCATAGTACCCAACAGGTAGGTTTTCAGCCTTTTTCCCCTTTCCCCTCTAGTAGTCCCCAGTGTCTATTGTTCCTGTCTTTATGTCCATATATACCCAGTGTTTAGCTCCCACTTATAAATGAGAACATGTGGTATTTGGTTTTCCATGCCTACATTAATTTGCTTGGATGAAAACTTCCAGCTGAATCCATGTTGTTGCAAAAGGATATTCTATCTTTTTTTGTGGCAGCATAGTATTCCATGATATATATGTACCACATTTTTTTTATTTAACCCACTGTCAGTGGGAACCTACATTGACTACATGTCTTTGCTATGGTTAATAATGCTGCAATGAACATACAAGTGTATGTGTCTATTTTATAGAATAATTTATTCTTCTTTTCTTATATAACCAGTAATGGATTGCTGGGCCTAATGATATTTCAATTTTTACTTTTGAGAAATCTCCAGTTGGTTTCCACAGGGGGTGAACTAATTTATGTTTCCACTAACAGTTACATCCCCTTTTCTCCACAGCCTCCCAGCAGCTGTTATATTTTTCTTTTAAATAATAGCCAGAAATCATATGATCACTTCAGTAGGCACAGAGAAACATTTCTATAAAATCCAACATCCTTTCATGATAAAAACCATCAACCAACTAGTCATTGAAGAAAGATGCTAAAAATAATAAGAGCTGCTAAGACAAAACCACAGCCTACATCATACTGAACAGGTAAAAGCTGGAGGCACTCCCCTTAAGAATAGAAACAAGACAAGGATGCCTACTTGCAATACTCCTTTTGAACATGGTACTGGAAGTCCTAGCCACAGCAATCAGTCAAGAGAAGAAACAAAAGGCATTCAAATAGAAAAAGAAGTCAAATTATCTCTGTTCACTGACAGTATGATTCTATATGTAGAAGACTCCCCAAAGAAAGGTTCCTATAAATGATAAACAACTTCAGTAAAGTTTCAGGATACAAAATCAATGTATAAAAATCTTTATCATTGCTATACACCAATAACATCCAAGCTGAAAGCCAAATCAAGAACACAATCCCACCTACAATAGACACAAAAAAAACATAAAATACCTAGGAACACAGCTTAATGAGGAGGTGAAAGTTTTCTACAAGGAGAACTACAAAACATTGCTGAAAGAAATAAAAGATGACATTAACAAATGGAAAAACATTCCATACTCATGGATAGAAAGAATCAATATTGTCATTAATAAAATGGCCATACTGCCCAAAGCACTTTATAAATTTAATGCTATTCCTATCAAACTCCCAACATTTTTCCACAAAACTAGAAAAAACTATTCTAAGATTAATGTGGAACCAAAAAAGAGCCTGTATAGCCAAAGCAAATCTAAGCAAAAAAGAACAAAGCTGGAGGCATTGTAACACCCAACTTCAAACTATACTACTATTCTACAAGGCTACAGTAACCAAAATAGCATGGTACTGGTACAAAAACTGACTCATAAAATAGATATGATTCTATTATTTCTGTTCTCCTCCAGAATAACTCAGTACTTCATTTCTTCACAACTCTCTGTGGTTTTATTTAGTCTTTTTTCATCCCGAAGACATAATTATTGTTGCTGTTATACATATTTGAAGTTTGTTTAGATTTATCCATGTATTTTTAACTTTGTTGAGTTTTCTTTTTCTCTTCTTAGAGTGACTTTATATCTGCCTAAATTATTCTTCAAACATTTCATTTAGTGAGGGTTTATATAGAGCAAACGTGTAATTTTTATTTTCTGACCTTGTTTTTATTTCTTCCTCCCTCACTCCTTACAGACACTAATCTGTTCTTCATTTAATGATTGTGTCATTTCAAGAATGTTATATAAATGAAATCATGCAGTATGTAACATTTTGACACTGGCTTTCTTTTTTAATGCAGGAGCATAATTTTCTTGTGAGCCAGCCAGATTGTCACATGTATAAATAATTTGCTCCTTTTTATGGCTGAATATTAATAGTATTCTATGGTATGGACATACCATCATTTGTTTAATATTTCACCATTTTAAGAACATCCAGTATTGTTTCTGTTTCTAACTAATATGAATAGTTTAGAAGAGTCAAAAAGAGAAACAGTCTATTGTATGTACCAATATTTTTATATTTAAAGAGGTTTTCAGAAAAATTAAATAGCTGTAAAAAAGGATTCTTATATACCCCCTCACCACCATCCGAAACACAATTTTCCATATTATTAACATCTTGCATTAGTGTGACTGATTTATTACAACTGATGAACCAATATTGATACATTTTTAATTAACTAAAGTCCACAGTTCACATTAGGGTTTACTCTTTCTGTTGTACATTCTATAGGTGCTAGCAAAAGTATAATGACATATGTTCACCAATACAGTATGATACAGAATAGTTACACTACCCTACAAATCTCCTGTGCTGCAACCTATTATTTCTCTCCTCCTCCTTCCCAGCAAACATTGGTCATTTTACTGTCTCCATACTCGACTTTTTCAAAATGTCAAATTGTGGGAGTCATATAATATGTGGCATTTTCGGACTAACATTTTTCACTTAGCAATGTGCATTTATTCTTCCTTCATGTCTTTTTATTACCCGATAGGTCATTTCTATTTATCACTGAATATCATTCAATTTGATGTATGTACCAAAATTTATTTATTAATTTGCCTACAGAAAAACACGTTGGTTGCTTCCAAGTTTGGGCAATTATGAATAAAGCTGCTGTAAATATTCATGTGCAGGTTTTTGTGAGGACATGTTTTCAATTCATTTGTGTAAATACCAAGGAGTGAAGTCTCTGAATCAGATGGTAAGACTATGTTTAGCTTTGGAAGAAACTGCCAAACTGTTTCCCAAAGTGGTTGTACAATTTTGCATTCCCACCAGCAATAAATAAGAGTTTCTGTCTTTCCACATTTACACCAACATTTGATATTACCAGTGTTTGGATTTTAGCTATTCTAAAAGGTGTGTAGTAGATTTACTCATATTTTTCTTACTGTGATTTTTCATACTTCATGTTATTCCTAGTATCCTTTTCTTACCACCTCCTTACTGTTTAGAGGACTTCCTTTGGCTCTTCATTTAGGATAGCTCTATTGGTGGAAAACTTCCTTCATTTTCCTTCACCTGAGAAAGCCTTGATTTTGCCTTCCTTGTTAAAAGCTATTTTCATTAGAAATAAGATTATGGGTAAATAGCACTTTTCTTTTAGCACTTAAAAAAATGTGTGCTACTTTTTTCTGGTCTCTGTAGTCCTGATGTGAAACCCACTATGATTCAAATTGTTTTCCCCTATAGATAAAGTATCATCTCTCTTACAGACTTCAACAATTTTTCTTTGTCTTTAGTTTTCAGAAATTTGAGTATGATGTGTCTTGGTATGGATTTATTTGGTATATTCTCTTTGGAGTTTGCTCAAGCATTGAATCTTCAGGTTCTTTTTTTTTTTTTTTTTTTTTTTGCCAAATTTGAAATTTTCAGTCACTCTTCCTGCAAGTACTTTTTCTATTCCATTCTCTCTCTCCTTTCCTTCTGGGACATGACGACATGAATATTAAGCTGTTTGTTGTAGCCCCATGGGTTCTTTTAAAATTCAGTCTATTTTCTCTCTGTTGTTAAAACTGTATGATTTTAATAGTTCTATCTTCCAGTTCATTGATTCTGTTCTCTTAGTTTATATTTTATTTCTTTGCTGAAACTTTATATTTCTTTGTGAGACCATTTTTTAATTTGTTTGAAGTATTTTTGTAATTGCTCCTTGAATCACTTCTATGATGGCTGCTTAAAAATCTTTGTTAGATAATCCTAATGTCTCTGTCATGTAGTGCTGGCATCTATTGACTGTTGTCTGTCTTTCAATTTGAGATCTTCCTGTTTCTTGCTATGATGCATTTCCTTTTTATTAAAACCTGAAGATTTGGGGCATTATATTTTAAGACTCTGGACCTTATTTAAATTTTATCTTTTAGCCAGCTTCTTCTGAAACTGCTCTGGCCTGAGATGAGGAGGCACTGGCTCATTACTTCCCATGGTGGATAGACACCTACATTCTTTACTTAGCTTTGTTGACAACTGAAGGGGGAGGTTCTTCATTACTCCCAGGTAGGGGTGAGAGTCCTGGCTCCCCACTAGGCCTCCAATGATATGTCCCTTTATGGGAGGGATAAGAGTGCTTCATTACTGCTCCTCTGATGGTCTCTACTGACACCATGAGAAGAGCGGGTGATGGCCTTATTTATAGTGGCTGCTGGTAAAAGATCTGACTCTTTCTTAGGCCTCTTCTGACAGTACCCCAACAAGAAGGAGGAGGGAAAAGGATACCTCATTACTGTTGGATGGAGGTGGAAGTCCAGGATCCAATGAGGTCTTCACTTTTGGCACAGCTCAGGCCTTATTACCTCCTGGAGGAGATGAAAGTCCTGGCTCCTTGCTTGTCCTCTAATATCACCCCAGCAAAGTTGGAAACACCTTGTTACAGCTAGGCAAGATTGGAATTCTAGACTCCTCATCCAGCATTTGCTGGCATGGGTGTAGGTGTGGCCACAATTTATGTTGTGGTATTGGCTGCCGTAGAGTAGGTATTTTCTAAAACTTTGCTGTCTTTCTAGCCGTCTCCTTTCTTTTTATTCATCTCTACATCACAAACAACTGAGGGGAACAAAATCATGCTTTTAATTCTTTGATCACCAATAACTACCTCTCAGACAAATGGATTAATTGAATAAATGTTATGGGTATCAAGTAATTTTTCAATCTTCCTGTGGATTGCCAGAATCATGAGACAAAGAAAATATTTTTGTAGTTTTATAAGGAAGAAATCTTATCTTCAATGTCATCCATAATATCATAATGTTTTCAGGTGAATCTTTGTGATATAAATGTATAATCACTCTCTGTAAAAAACAACATGTCTTCCAGATTTGTGATATTTTCTGTCTGGCCTATTTTAACAGTAGACATGAATAATAATTATTAGGCAAAGATCTATGTTTTTGTATCTTGGTGAAAATAAACACACAAAATGTTTTAAAATGTTATTTACTTTCTGTAATAAAAAAGAGTTTTTAATATGTTTCTCCAAGAGTGATAAAATGAAAGATTTGCAATTTTTAGCTTTCTTCTGGACCCATAAAATTTGCACCTATATAAGTTTCACTCAATATATGCTTTAAATATTTTGCCTAAAAGTAATGTGTGAACTTTGGGTTTTGTCTGGAAATCTTGACAATTGAGAGAACATAAACAGAAAAAGAAAAGAAATTTTCTATAGTATGCATTGTCACCACTTCAAGTATGTACACCTTAAATAGAACCTTAAAATATACTGTTAGCATCTATTTTTATTACTTCAAAGAAAATCTCAATAGGATACTTTTAAGATTTTAACATAATGTACCTGCTTAAGCTGATAGCAACATGAATCTAGAAACTAATCAAATTATTTTTAATGGGAAGATAATGCTCTGGCCTTAATTTTTAAAAGTAAGGTAATTCTAATCATACATTTTGAACATGTACAAGCATAATTATCTTCTGTTACTATCATGTGGACTAGCCAATTTAAAACTACAAATTATATTGAAAAGATAAGTGGAATGAATAAGAAAACCTCGTTTAATACATGCTGTGCTTTTTTTTTTTACCTTGAACAAGTCCTTTTAATCTCCTTCTGAAAACTGAAAGATTTCTTTGTTCAGTCAATAAATTTCTCTGATCACACGTTTTTTGAACTCTAACTTCTAACTTTCTATGAAGAAGTAAAGCACACTCTGATATTAGCCATAACAAATATGTTCTAAATCAATCTAAACAATATTAATTTGTGCAAGCATTTATTTACATTAATTTACTTCTCACTGTCTAGAACACATGCTCAGCATGCAAAGATATTAATGAAATTGGACCCTAGAAGAGAAGCAGGGTCGAAAAATTAAAAAAGTAGATATTAAAATAAAATAAAATGTTTACTGTATTTTATTTCATTTTATTATCTGATTATTTTTATTATTTTAATTTTTTTCCTTGGGCCATATTATTTTATTGGCAGGTCAGTGAAGAGCCAGAGGTAAGGGTCCTTCAATTCCTATTCCCCAACCCAGGGACTCCCCCTGAAGGAGAGCAGAAACCCAGGAGCCTGCCACTCAGAGGACCTTGGAGTTGGGCAGGTTGTTGTAGCAATATTCCTGGCCTTCTAGCTGGTTGCAATACAGAGAGATCTCCTACTCCAGCTGTGAGGTGAAGTCCATAACCCCCTGGTACTCCTTGTTCTGCCTCTCGCTGTCAACGCACATATTACCCAGCTGGGCTTCATAAATATTTTATTTCAAGAAAGAAATTAATGATATTTGAGAATTTGAAATTGAGAATGATATTTGAAAATTATGATTAAACATATTTAAGGAAGTGCAAATGGAGGTGCAAGGTAATTAAGTCATATCTCAAACAGTCTCTTCATGTGGTGACATTAGTTACTGACCACATTATCAGAACATAACACATTTACGGTAATAGCAGTGCACCATTTATGATGAAACCTAAACTGTAGCTGATAGTGCCAAACAATATTAGAAATCAGAATGATTTTTTTAATGCAGCTTTATCTGGTGTAAAAAAGATACTTGTTTGTTCAACAAAATTGCCACAACCAAGGTTTGTTTTCTTTTTTCTTCTGTTTTTTTTTTTGTTGTTGTTGTTGTTAAGGTGTCTTACTTTGGTAATTATCTTAAGTACGTTGCAATATACTACCTTTGAAAATATTTTTAATTAATTGTCTAAAAACCTTGCTGGAATAAATATATTAATAACTCAAGTCATAAGAAATTAATATATTCAGTGCCTCTGTAATACCTGCTATACCTTAATAAGTGCTCCTTAGCAATTTATTGAAAATTAATTAAGTCTTGCCAAAGGAACACAAAAAAGTCAACTAGAAGACTAATTGAAATTATTATAACCTTTCTGTGTAAATATACAGCACATATGATTGGATAAGAAGAACATCTTGTAAATTTGATTATCAGATTAATTATTCTTAACATTTATATATGAAATATCAAATAAGATATCACTGGTAGTTATTATGCATTAAAATAGTTTTGTAAGTACTTAAAATAATATTTTCTTAATATAATTTTCAGTTAATATTGTTTAGACATTCAAAATCCTATTAACATTATGTTGAATCAGGTAGAATTTTTTCCAGTGGCCAATCTTTTCTCCATTTTCTGAAAACTTATGTCTCTTATAGCCCTGCACTTACCAGATGTTCTTTCTCTCCTTTGTCCTATTCAAAATGTATACAACTGCACCATATTCTCATCATTTTCTGAAAGGTAAATATTGCAGTTAGAGCAAATAATTTAGTTAATGCATTGGGTCTAAATTAATGCCTCAGTGAATTTTAAACATATCTTATTTAGACAGCCTAGATGGGTTAATGCTAAAATTGTTGATTGGTAATGCTGGCAGGCCTATGGGAGAGATATTTTGAATGAGGATGTCCAAAAATGCAACACAGTAAGTCTAAAAACTAGCCCTTATTTAATCTACCTCTATATGAAAAGCATATGCTAAATGCTTTGGGAGAATAAGAATTGTATTTAATCTTTATGCACCCTACTATAACTATTTAACCTACTAAAACTATTATTAAATATGAATAGATGCAGAAGAATTTATAGATAATTAATAGATACAGACATTCAGCCTCAGAATAGTTAAGTAAGTTACCCAGGTTCATGTGGTTATTAAGTGATAGACTTGGGATTTGAACCCATGTAGTCAAAGCACAAAGATCAAGTGCTTGACAATGATTCCTAATTCCTCAGGTAAAAGTAGATTGAAAGACACCTACTCTGCCTAAGTATAAGAGCAGACCCATGTCATAATAGATGTAGGACTATTAATAGATAAATAGCTGTTATTAATAGCTAGCTGATTAATAGTTAGTAGATTAATAGCTGTTAAGAAGTGAATTAATGATCAAGCTAAGACTACCTGTGGATAACATTTCAAATTTTGTCTTTGTAGACTCTTCCTTTCTTTCCAAAATTTGTCTACACTAAGTTAAGGAACAGCTGTAAACTTACACCAAAGATGGTCAACAGGAAGGCTTAGGAATAGAAATTCTTCACAAGTTGGTAAAAAAATATATTTTGAAAACAGTAGACAAACATACAATGAAATCAGCTTGGTCACTTGTGCTTACATTTGCCAATTTAATCACAGCCTGAATGTTATTTTGACACCATGTAAATTTGTCATTGAAGAATGCATATATTGTATAACATTTGCCTTCTTCAAAGGAATGTCTGTATACCTTTAATACTTCAAATGCCAAGAGTTCACCTTTCATGTTTTCTCATAAAACTTTCACATTGAATGTTTAGCATGATTTTTCTTGCCATTTTTATATTCAACTAGAAGAGAATATTTGGAAACTTAAAAAATATTTATGTGCATATGATACTAAATTGTATATAGATTTATTTCTATTTATATATCTATATAATATTAAGAATTTCTATGTGCCTTGCATTTTATTAGATACAAGAAAAATGATATACTCAGAGAAGACACAAAATTAATGTGAAATATGTGTAATGGCTGATAAATAAATCCTGTTTTTGGTATTAGTCAGGGTTAAGCTATAGGAAACGGTATTCCATTCTAGCTAGCTTAAGAAAGAGGGAATTTGTTTAAGGATATTAAAAGATATTAATAGAATGTTTTTATATCCTATTATGGATCTATTGATATGAATTATTGTTGAACATTAAAAAGGCTCAATAAATCAGTAGGGGTAGAGGGGGACTGAAGACTGAAGAAGGGATACTAGGTTAAGTTTCAGGAACAACTATCCAAACCATACCAAGTATGCTAAGAAACTTTCCTTTAACATCATAAACTTGTAGGTTCTAGAACTACACTAACACTGTCACAATCAATGAAACTGACAAAATAAAAACCCACCATAGTTCGGAAATCACACGCCTATAGACAATCAGGACACTATCATGATAAAAATCAATTACAGCTTCTGTTCTTGTCTCTGGAACCACACTGTACCTACTAGAAGCTGCACCAGCAAAACCAGTGTTTGTATCCTGTTTCTACACTCATGGAGCCAGTTATTGAACTATGGAACAGCTGTTGATTTCATTTCACCAAAAGCAAGTGCCTTAATGCCCACATTTGCCAGGTGAATAGCAAAAGAAGCTGCCATATGGCCTCCATCTCACTTATGTCTTCCAATATTTTGTGTGCACATATGATCAGCCAAACCTAAATCATATGTGGAAACCTGAATCTGGATGAGTTTGGAAAATGCAATTTCTATGTATCCAATCTCTTTATTACAGGAAGGTAAACTAAGGGAGAGTAGAATAGATATCACATTGATTAGACAAAACGTGTATTTATGATGTTAAATAATGTATTATATGGAATAATGTCTTTGTCATTTAGGCGCTAATGTATTTTAAATCTGTAGTCTAACATATTCTGCTTTTCCAGGTGTCCAGCCTTTGTCTCTCTATCAGAAATTTTTTAGCAGCAAAGAAAGAAAATATCATATTAAAAGTAATGTAAATAATGTGGATAAGCATTACCTAACAGAAAAAAAGATGCCCAGAGCAATAGCAGTTTCAATGTTGGTAAAGTAATTCAAATACGTTATCAAAAACCAGAGATCTTTCTTAATCTAAGAGTGTTGACTTTGATTCTCAGATTTGACCCTCATAACTTGAAAATCCAAGACTTGTGTTGACATAGGGTTGTTGCAAAGGGAGAAAGTTGAAGGCATCCATTATGGTTAATAATGAGTGTAAACTTGATGGGATTGAAGGATACAAAGTATTGATCCTGGGTGTGTCTATGAGGGTGTTGCTAAAGGAAATTGACATTTAAGTCAGTGGGCTGGCAAAGACAGACTTACTCTTAATCTGGATGGGGCACAATCTAATCAGCTGCCAGCAGGGCTAGAATATAAGCAGGCAGAAAAACATGAAAAGAGAGACTGGCCTAGCCTCTCAGCTTATCTTTCTCCTGTGCCAGATGCTTCCTGTTCTTGAACATCAGACTGTGAGTTCTTCAGTTTTGGAACTCAAACTGACTCTCCTTGCTCCTCAGCCTGCAGACCGACTATTGTGGGACCTCGTGATTGTGTGAGTTAATACTTAATAACTCTCATATACATATATATATACACACACACATGCACACACATATACATGTGCACATATATACACACACAAATATATATATTCTCATATATATCAATATTTTATATATATATTTTATTTATATATATATATTCCGTTAGTGTTGTCCCTAATAGAGAACTCCAACTAATACAGATTTTGGTACCAGGAGTGGTTCTTGAGGAACAGAATATTAAGGATGAAGTTCTTTAGTTGGTTTTGGGGTTTCTGGAGTTGGCTGCTTAATATGATTAGACCCAAAAATGCTAAGGGCCCTACTTCTAATAGTATGGAGAGCACTGATAGTTCTTGGTGTGAATTGTTTAGAGAGTTATGCAAGATAAATGCATTTGACACTCCTGAATCATCACTTGTGAGAGGTGAGGAGTTTAGTCTGTCTATCCACAATAGCTTTGATCATATGTGGAGAAACAAGGAATATAATGAAGCTGGTTGGTTGCTCCCAAGTTCAGTAGAGAAAGTGATAAAAGAAAATTATGAACTCAGGAATTCTATCTGCCGGCTTCAGAAGCAGATACTCAGCCTCAAATCTGTTAAGATTGCCCCGATTGTCTTTTATTTTATTTTATTATTATTATACTTTAAGTTTTAGGGTACATGTGCACAATGTGCAGGTTAGTTACATATGTATACATGTGCCATGCTGCTGTGCTGCACCCATTAACTCATCATTTAGCATTAGGTGTATCTCTTAATGCTATCCCTCCCCCCTCCCCCCACCCCACAACAGTCCCCAGAGTGTGATATTCCCCTTCCTGTGTCCATGTGTTCTCATTGTTCAATTCCCACCTATGAGTGAGAATATGCGGTGTTTGGTTTTTTGTCCTTGTGATAGTTTACTGAGAATGATGATTTCCAATTTCATCCATGTCCCTACAAAGGACATGAACTCATCATTTTTCATGGCTGCATAGTATTCCATGGTGTATATGTGCCACATTTTCTTAATCCAGTCTATCATTGTTGGACATTTGGGTTGGTTCCAAGTCTTTGCTATTGTGAATAGTGCCGCAATAAATATACGTGTGCATGTGTCTTTATAGCAGCATGATTTATAGTCCTTTGGGTATATACCCGGTAATGGGATGGCTGGGTCAAATGGTATTTCTAGTTCTAGATCCCTGAGGAATCGCCAGGGAGCATTTTTTCATGTGTTTTTTGGCTGCATAAATGTCTTCTTTTGAGAAGTGTCTGTTCATGTCCTTCACCCAAAGTCTCCTTAAGCTGATAGGCAACTTCAGCAAAGTCTCAGGATACAAAATCAATGTACAAAAATCACAAGCATTCTTATACATCAACAAAAGACAAACAGAGAGCCAAATCATGAGTGAACTCCCATTCACAATTGCTTCAAAGAGAACAAAATACCTAGGAATCCAACTTACAAGGGATGTGAAGGACCTCTTCAAGGAGAACTACAAACCACTGCTCAATGAAATAAAAGAGGATACAAACAAATGGAAGAACATTCCATGCTCATGGGTAGGAAGAATTAATATCGTGAAAATGGCCATACTGCCCGAGGTAATTTATAGATTCAATGCCATCTCCATCCATAAGGCCAACCAGAAGCAATTTGTCTTCAACTGGAAAGTCCAGCATTATACATTTTCTATCCTACCTCAGGGGTATATCAACTCTCCAGCTTTGTGTCATAATCTTATTCAGAGACAACTTGATCTCTTTTCACTTCTGCAAGATATCACATTGGTCCATTACACTGATGACATTATGCTGATTGGATCCAGTGAGTAAGAAGTAGAAAACACACTGGACTTATTGGTGAAACATTTGCATGCCAGAGGATGGGATATAAATCCAACTAAAATTCAGAGACCTTCTACCTCAGTAAAATTTCTAGTGGTCCAGTGGTGTGGGGCCTGTCAAGATATTCCTTCTAAGGTAAAAGATAAGTTGCTTCATTTGGCCCCTCCTACAACCAAGAAAGAGGCACAATGCCTAGTGGGCCTATTTGGATTTTGGAGGCAACACATTAGTCATTTGGGGGTGTTACTCTGGCCCATTTATCCAGTGACCCGAAAGCCTGCCAGTTTTGAGTGGGGTCCAGAACAGCAGAAGGCTCTGCAATAGGTCCAGGCTGCTGTGCAAGCTGCTCTGCCACTTGGGCCATATGATCGGCAGATTCAATGGTGCTTGAGATATAAGTGGCAGATAGGGATGCTGTTTGGAGCGTTTGGCAGTCTCCCATAAGTGAATCACAGTGGACGCCTCTAGGATTTTTGAGCGAGGCCCTGCCATCTTCTGTAGATAACTATTCTCCCTTTGAGAGACAGCTCTTTTTCTGTTACTGGGCTTTGGTGGAAACTGAAAGTTTGACTATGTGTCATAAAGTCACCATGTGACCTGAACTGCCTATCATGAACTGGGTGCTTTCTGACTCATCTAGCCATAAAGTGGGTCATGCGCAGCAGCATTCCATCATCAAATGGAAGTGGTATATACATGATCAGGCTCAAGCAGGTCCTGAAGGCATAAGCAAGTTACATGAGGAAGTGGCTCAAGTGCCCATGGCCTCCACTCTGCCTTCTCCCCCAGCCTGCACCATGGCCTAATGGGGAATTTCTTATGATCAGTTGACAGATAAAGAGAAGACAAGATATACCTTAGAAGGAATATCTTGACAGGCCCCACACCACTGGACCACTAGAAATTTTACTGAGGTAGAAGGTCTCTGAATTTTAGTTGGATTTATATCCCATCCTCTGGCATGCAAATGTTTCACCAATAAGTCCAGTGTGTTTTCTACTTCTTACTCACTGGATCCAATCAGCATAATGTCATCAGTGTAATGGACCAATGTGATATCTTGCAGAAGTGAAAAGAGATCAAGTTGTCTCCGAATAAGATTATGACACAAAGCTGGAGAGTTGATATACCCCTGAGGTAGGATAGAAAATGTACAATGCTGGACTTTCCAGTTGAAGACAAATTGCTTCTGGTTGGCCTTATGGATGGAGATAGCATTGAATCTATAAATTACCTCGGGCAGTATGGCCATTTTCACGATATGGCCTGGATCACAGATGGTTCTGCATGATATGCAGGCACCACCTGAAAGTGGACAGCTGCAGCACTACAGCCCCTTTCTAGTACATCCCTGAAGGACACTAGTGAAGGAAAATCTTCCCAGTTGTCAGAACTTCAAGCAGTGCACCAGGTTGTAAACTTTGCATGGAAAGAGAAATGGCCAGATGTGTGATTATATACTAATTAATGAGCCGTAGTCAATAGTTTAGCTGGATGACCAGGAACTTGGAAGAAGCGTGATTAGAAAATTGGTGACAAAGAAATTTGGGAAAGAGGTATGTGGACGGACTTCTCTGAGTGGTCAAAAACTGTGAAGATATTTGTATCCCATGTGAGTGCTCACCAACAGGTTATGTGAGCAGAGGAGGATTTCAATAATCAAGTGGATAGGATGACACGTTCTGTGGACACCACTCAGCCTCTTTCCCCAGCCACCCTTGTCATTGTCCAATGGGTCCATGAACGAAGTGGCCATGATTGCAGGGGTGGAGGTTACTCATGGGCTCAGCAACATGGACTTCCACTCACCAAGGCTGACCTAGCTATGACCACTAATGAGTGCCCAATTTGCCAGCAGCAGAGCCCAACACTGAGCCCTCAGTATGGTACCATTCCTTGAGTTGATCAGCCAACTACCTGGCAGCAGGTTGATTATATTAGATTTCTTTAATCATGGAAAGGGCAGAGGTTTGTACTCACTGGAATAGACACTATTCCTATGGGTTTGCCCATTCTGCACACAGTGCTTCTGCCAAGACTACCATCCACAGACTCACGGAATGCCTTATCCACATATTGGTACTCCATACAGAATGGCCTCTGACCAAGGCACACACTTTACGCTAAAGAAGTGTGGCAGTGGGCTCTTGCTCATGGAATTCACTAGTCTTACCATGTTCCCCATCATCCTGAAGCAACTGGATTGATAGAATGGTGGGAGGGCCTTTTCAAGTCACAATTACAATGCCAACTAGGTGACAATACTTTCCAGGGCTGGGCCAATGTTCTCCAGAAGGCTGTGCATGCTCTCAATCAGCATCCAATATATGGCACTGTTTCTCCCATAGCCAGGATTCATGGGTCCTGGAATCAAGGGGTAGAAGTGGAAGTGGCACCACTCACCATCACCCCAGTGATCCACTAGCAAAATTTGTGCTTCCTATTCCCATGACATTATGTTCTGCTGGCCTAGAGGTCTTAGTTCCAGAGGGAGAAACACTGCCACCAGGAGACATAACAAGATTCCATTAAACTGGAAGATAAGATGGCCACTTGGACACTTTGGGCTCCTCATTCCTTTAAGTCAACAGGCTAAGAAGGAATTACAGTGTTGGCTGTGGTGATTGACTTGGACTATCAAGTTGAAATCGGTCTATAACTCCACAACAGAGGTAAGTGTATTAGTCTGTTTTCACACAGGTGATAAAGACATACCAGAGACTGAGAAGAAAAAGAGGTTTAATTGGACTTACAATTCCACATGGCTGAGAAGGCCTCAGAATCATGGCAGAAGGTGAAAAGCGCTTCTTACACATCGGTGGCAAGAGAAAATGAGGAAGAAGCACAAGCGGAAACCCCTGATAAACCCATCGTTTCTCGTGAGACTTGTTCACTATCATGAGACTAGCACGGGAAAGACTGGTCCCCATGATTCAATTACCTCTCCCTAGATCCCTCCCATAACATGTGGAAATTCGGGACGTGCAATTCAAGTTGAGATTTAAATGGGGATGCAGACAAACAAGATCAGTAAGAAAGAGTATTCATGGAATACAGGAGATCCATTAGGGCATCTCTTAGTATTACCATGCCCTGTGATTAAGGTTAATGGGAAACTACAACAGCCAAATCCAGGCAGGACTACAAATGACCTAGACCCTTCAGGAATGAAGGTTTGCATCACTCCACTAGGAAAAAACAAAAAACAAACAAAAGACAAAAAAAAACAACCATGGCCTGCTGAGGTGCTTGCTGAAGGCAAAGGGAATATGGAATGGGTAATAGAAGAGGTAGTCATTAATACCAGCTACAACCACCTGACCACTGCAGAAACAAGGATTGTAATTGTCATGAGTAGTTCCTCCTTCTTTTGTTAAATACATGTTTCTGCATGTATACACTTGTTCTAAGAAAATATCTTCATTTTATTTGCTTTCCCCTTTATCATGTGACATAAGATTTATTGACTTCACATCAGCATTTAAGTATTATTAACTTTATGTAATAGTATTTGTGTTGGAGATTGGTGCATTTCCGATTGTATGAAGGATAGTTGTGTTATGGTAGGCATAATTATGACCTTATTATTGTCTTTGTTTTAAGATTATGTATGATCTCAGGAGATGTGTATGAGTTTGAGTTGACAAGGAGTAGACTTATGATCCTTAATACTGTGTGTCAACTTGATTGGATTGAAGTTTGCAGAGTATTGATCCTGGTGTGTCTGTGAGAGTGTTGCTAAAGGAGATTAACATTTGAGTCAGTGCACTGGGAAAGACAGACCCACCCTTAATCTGGGTGTGCACAATCTAATCAGTTGCCAGAGCAGCTAGAATGTAAGCTAGAATATAAGAAGGCAGAAAATGTGAAAAGAGAGATTGGCCTAGCCTCCCAGCCTACATATTTCTCCCATGCTGGATGCTTCCTTCCCTCGAACATCAGACCCCAAGTTCTTCAGTTTTGGAAACCCGACTGACTCTCCTTGCTCCTTAGCCTGCAGATAGCGTGTTGTGGGACCTTTTGATCATGTGAGTTAATACTTAATAAACTCCCTCTCTCTCTCTCTCTCTCTATATATATATATATGTGTGTGTGTGTGTGTGTGTGTGTGTGTGTGTAGTTTATTAAGTACATATATACACTTAATACATATATTATATTAATACAACACATATTTTATATATTATATATTAATATAATATATAATATTTTATATGTTATCTTATCTTATATTGATATATTATATATTATATTACTATATATGTATTATAATATTATATATAATACATGATATTAATATATTAATATATAATATTAATGTATATGTTGATATAATATAATGTATAACACATAATATATAAATATATTGTTATATATAATATACAATATATTATTATATAGTATATATAATATATTAATATAATATATTACATATAATATATAGTTTATTAAATGTGTGTGTGTGTGTGTATATATATATATATATAAAATCCCATTAATTTTGTCCCTCTACAGAACCCTGACTAATACAGCAATTTCTCCTCCATGATTCTTTATAGAGTGAGGGGTGTCTTCCTGTTAATCCCATAGCAGCTCCAATTGCTAGAACCCAGTGAAATTTCGGGATACTTCTATAGAAACACTTGTAAAGCTACTGTGTTTTGTCAGGAAAGAATATTTTACCAGCAAGTAAGAAGGGCTTAGGAGTTCCATGAAGGTAACTCTAAATCTACCAAGCAGGTCAGAATTGCTTGTCTTCCTTCCACAGCACCCTGCCCCTTTCCTTAGTGTCTGTTTCCATGAATGGTACCCTCATCTATTTGGTCTCCTAAGCCATTTCTTCCTTTGCTCTACTATCCAAATTCAGTTTTTCACCAAATCCTGTCTATTTCTACTCTTATTACATTTCAATTCTATTTCTTTCCTAATATTTACAATGCCTTAGCAGTCTGTTTATGTCTCATCACTGCACTACTACAAAAGCTTCCTACTTAATTCTCACACTAGGGTCTTAATCATTTTTAATTCCATAATAATATCACAAAATGTAAATTTTGTTATTTTATTCTCCTCCTTAAAGTTGTTACTGGTTCCTCAAAACTTTTAGGATGAATTATTAACATATAGACTAATATTTTAGCACATAGTTCTTTTTCTGACTACTGCTCCCTCCAAGGCTTCATATCATGTTGTTTCTCCAAATGCAATTAATACACTAGCCATATCAAATGTATTTCACCTCTATGGTTCTGAACACGTTAATCACCCTTTATAAAACATCTCTTCCTCACTCTCTTTCTTCTCCAATGCTTGTCTTTTAAGACTCAGCTCAATACTCCTCCAAAAATCATTTCTTGACCCAGAAATATAAATTAGGCACCCAGTTCTCCCATGCATCCTTGGCATGCATTAGTCATAGAATTTGTCATATTCTCTTATAATTTTTATCTATATATTTTTTCAATGTCATTGAGTAACCTTCTTGAGAAAAAGAATGTTTTTTATATATATACTTTTTTATTAATGTAGAATTGATGAATTAATTCAGCTCATTGCCATGAGAGAGTTTCTAGATCACAGTTAAGAAAAGGAGAATCAGGTAGAGTCCAGCAGAGTCCATGAGTTGAGGAGAGTTATGAGATTCCAGGTAAAACAAAGTGACTACAATTCAGAAGACAGAAAGCTGGTGAGGAGAGAACCGCAAACGCTGAAGATTGGCAGAGGCTCTCCATTGAATATTTTGCTGAATGCGATCAGCATGTGAATTTGAGAAAACTAAACAAAGCTGAGGATTGGAGGAACACTCAAAGAAAGCAGTGCCTGATACTCACACAAGATTGGAAAATCTCATAATTGGACAGATTATATAAAAATATCTTATCTCTGTAGTGGAGAATAATTAGCCCTAAATTGAACACTGTTCCTATCCCACTTAAAATATCTTAGAGACCATACTAGAAAGATCAAACTATTTTTAAGTAGCTTAACTGCATTCCAAAACAACGCTCAAGAATATTTATTGGAATACAAACATATTCTACATCTAAGAAGGTGAAATACAGAATGTCTAGCGCCTGCTAGACCGACATGCAAAATGCAGGAAAATGTAATACATAATGAGGAGAAAATAACTTCAAAATCAACCCAGAAGTGAAAACAAAATTCATGAATACCACAAATGGTGACTTAATGAGTAATATACAAGATTTTTTCTAAAGAATGCAGGAAAATGTAATACATAAAGAGGAGAAAATAAATCAATAAAAATGAACCCAGTAGTGAAAACAAAATTCATGAGAACCACAAATTGTGACTTAATGAGTAATATATAAGATTTTGTCTAGTTAATCTTTTACAAAGTTTATTAACTGTTTAAATGAAAATAATAGAAATGCAGTCAGAGGCTTATAATTTACATAAAAGAAAAACATATTACAATAACAGCACAAAAGTTGGGAGGAGAGCAATGGAAATATGCATTTTTCATGTTCTTATATAGGCAAAGTAGTGTACGTTCACTAGTAGATAGTGATAACTTAAAGATATATACTATAAACTTAAATATATACTATAAATCTATAAGCAACCACTTGAATAATAAAAGGTAGAGTTACAGTAATAAGAAAACAGCAAATAAAATAAAATAATCATAAAAAATCAATTAATCCAAAGGCAGGCAGAAAAACAGGAGAAAGTTAAAGAAAAAGAACAGATGAGTCAAATGTACGTCAATAGCTGGATGATAAATTTAAACTAAACCATATCAAGAATCATGTAAACTATAAATGGTCTAAATATTCTCGATTAAAAGGCCGAGATATATTATATAACAAAGCAATACTCAATATATAGTCTACAAGAAATGTACTTCAAATATAAGGAAACAAACAATCTGAAAGTAAATTGATTGAAAAAGAAAAAATATGCTAATACTAAGGAAAAGAGGGCTGCAGTGGCTATATTAATATAAAAATTAAATTTCAGAGTAAAGGGTAGCATTAGGGATAAAGGAAGTCATTTCATATTGATAAAGTGATAAAATTCTACCTGATAACAGCAGGAAACACTTTATAAACATTCACTGAACATTTACCAAATCTACCATATTCTGCATCATAAACTCATCAACAGCATATAAGGATGATAAATGAATATGCATCCAAATAACAGAGCCTCAGAATATATTATATTAAACAAAAACTGTTCTAACTGCAATTAAAAATAGATAAGTCTAAAGCTTATCTATTTTATAATCAGATATCAATGCACCATATCAACATTCGATAAGGGAAGTCGACAGAAAATCAGTAAGTATATGGATGATGTCATCTACACTGCCAATAAGCCTGATGTAATTGACAATTGTGGAATATTCCACTAAACAAGAGCGGGATACAAGTACTCACTAAACATTTATCAATATCCCTCATATTTTCCATCATAAAAGAAGTCTCAATAAATTCAAAAGATTCAAGTCATACAAATTATGTTTTCTGATCACTGGTAGAATAAATTAGAAATCAATAGCAGGAAAAATTCTTGAAAATCTTTAAATGTTTAGAAACTAAATAATATAAATAGAGTCATAGAATGAATTTTAAAAAACAGAATGCATTCTTGAAGAAATGTAAATAAATTCATAATCTATCTGAAATTGTAGATTACTACTAAAAGAGTTATTGGGAGAAATATATACTAATAAAGGCCTATAAAGTAAGAAAGCTTAAATTAAAGACCTAGCATCTAGGAGAAAATGAAAAATTTTAAATCAAGCAAGTAGAAGAAAATAAATAATAAAGGTTTAAGCAAATATTAATGAAATAGAAAAAAATAGAGAAAAATCTATGAAACTAAAAACTTGTTCTTTGAGCAGATCAATAACAACTGACAAATATCAGATCAGACTGAAATGGGTAAAAAAGAAGATAATATACTTACTAATATCAGAAATAATAGAAATAATATAATTGCTGCTTCTATATAGATTAAAAAGATAATAAGAAAATGAACCATTTTAGGCTAATAAATTCCATAACTTGGATGAAAAGAACAAACTCTTTGAAAGACAGGAAACCAAAAAAAGAAATAAATTAATAGTCTAAATTAGTGCAATCAAATTATAGTTAAAAGCCTCTCAACAAAGAAAACTCTTGGCCAGGATGTCTTCATTTGTGAATTTTATGACATATTTAAGAAATAAATAATATTATTCTACACAAAGTTTTCTGGAAAACTGAAGAATTAGAAATATTTCCCAACTCATTTCATGAAGCCATCATTATACACATATAAACATAGAATGATATTGCAAGTAAAACTGCATATCAGTATCTCTCATGAAGGTAGATATAAAGATTCTGAATAAAATTTTGGCAGTTATAATCTAACATATATAAAGGAGATAATCGTCACGAGCATGTGGGGATTATTCCATGAGGCAGAGTTTAACAATTAAAAATCAATCAATATAATTCACTGCAATAACAAAGGACAGATATTAATATGAGCATTTGTCCAAATCTAGATTTTACTGATTTCTAATAAAATTTCCGTAAACTAGAAATATAGGGGAACTTCCTAAATTCCCTTACGAAAAAAATCTCTACCACTAACTCCACATATAATGGTGAAAGAATATCTACAAAAACATCCCTACAGCTAACTCCATATATAATGGTGAAAGTCTGAATATTTTCTGCTAATATAAATAGCAAGTCAGGGATATCCGCCCTCACTACTTCTATTTAGCTTTATGTTGGAGATCGTAGACAGTGAAATAAGAAAATAAGATATTTTAAGAGCATATAGATTAGAAAGAGAGGAGTAAAATTTTCTCTTATTTGTGGGCTAGATAATTGATTGTGCAGGAAATTTGATAGAAACTACAAGATATCCACTAGAACTAATGAGTTTAGTAACATTACAAGATACAAAAGTACAGAAATCAATTGTATTTTTAAATAATAACAAAGAACAATTGAAAATTCAGTAAAAACATAGTGTTTTCAGTAGCACCAATATCATGAAACACTCAAGGATAAATGTTATAATAGTTGTTATAGACATGGGTATGAAAATGAAAAAACATTGCTGAAAGATATTTTTAAAAGATCTAAATAAATGACGATACATAGCATGTTCATATGTCAGAAGATAAAATATTTTTAAGATATCAAGTGTGACCAGATCCATCACCTCAAAATAATGCTATTTATATAAAATTCCAGAAAATGCAAAGGAATGTATTGTGATAGAAAATAAATCAGTTGTTCCCTTGGGCTAGGTGGGGGAAGAGGGAGGGGAAGGGTTGAAGGAAGAATTATGAAAAGACATGAGGAAACTTTGGGATGATTTCTGTGCCCATTATTCTGACTGTGGTGATGGATCAATGAACATAAATATATATATAATTTAGCAAAATGTAGAGTTTAAAATGCAAGGTTTATTTTATGTCTATGAAAGCACACACACACTTTTAATTCTGTTTTCTTTGAAAACATGTTCAGTTGATAGACACTATTAATTTCATGTTCACCTAAACTTTAAGGCTACGTAGATGTAATGAGAAATTAAGTAATTTTTCTAATTTTTATGACAAAATCTACTTAAAAATCATTTATTTTAAACTAAGATGGGATCCTTCGAAATAAAACTACTTAAAATATCTCTCAAAAAAACCTGTATATTTTTAGTCCTCTCTGACCTTGAATCCACTCAACAGATCATCGAACAACTGTCTAAATTCAAAAGCCAAAATTCTTATTTTGGTTACTCTCATGTCATATATCCTCACTCAGTAACTAATGTAAAAGTAAAGCAGCCCTGATGGCTTCTGTGGACCTCCTGAGCCTCTCCCAAGGATTTAGGTCCTCAGGGAATTAGCAATATTTCTTATGGGATTCAGTTTTATAACAAATGTTTAAAAATATACATATTTACATTGTATGGATGATAGGACTCAATGATTCCTCTTATTCTGTTTTCCTGGCTCTTCTTTTTTTCTGGTAGTTGGCATTATGGGAATCGCTCAGACATAGGCCCTTTCTTCCACTCTTCCAACGTCATTCTTGCTGCTGTGAGAAATGCATCCTCTAATATGACTTCATTAACTTCTCTCTCATTAACTGACAAATCTGGAATCCTCAATATTCAATTCATGATGATACTCTCTGAAGTCATCTCCATTTCACTGGCCCATTCTAGGGTCCATTATTTGAAGGCTGCCCCCAGTCTCATTTTCTATTCAAACTTAATTTTCTGAATTATCCTACTTTTTATACTTCATTCTTTGCAGTATACTCCGCTACTGTATTTATTAATCTCACTGTTCACTCCATTATTAAATCTTCCTCTGATTTCAGAACATTGCATGTTTTTCTGTTTCCCATAGTATGACTTTGACTCAATATCCTCATGAACAGCTTTGAGGACTATCTCTCCTAGTTTATTTGGTAGACTCTTTTACAAATATATTACCCCAAAGGGCAGTTCTTAAATATACACATCTTGGCCTTATTGATCCATCCATAGATTCTGCTTACCTTCTGCTTTCCTTAACACTGAAAATCTAGAAACTTGAAGTCACCGTTGCCTTTCCTTCTGCTCTATATTAAACCACAACCTAAAATCTGTCCATCTTTCCTTCTCAATATCTCTGGATTTAGTCCTTAAGCAAACTCTTCTTACCTAACACCTGTTGCTATTAGCAACACTTTTTGTCTTCAAAGTGATCTCATACAATCTCTATTCCAAAAACTGAAAACAAAACAAAAAGCTGCCAATTAAACACCACAACTGTCATGGTAAGCCCCTGCTGAAAATCATACATATTATTCTCTAACTTTGATTACAAAAAATATCAATTTTTTAGTATAATTATCAGGTTCCTTCACGATCTAGTGCCACATTACTTGTATAATTTTATTCTACTTCTAATGCCAGTTACCTCATTCCAGTAAGTTTAGATCTTCACTATATTCTTCCTATCATGCATTATCAACACACATACAGACATACATCTTTATTTTGCCTGCATATCTTTCTCTCTGCCTGAGTCATATGCATCCTTTGATGCCTAGCATCATATTCAAGCTCCTATTTCAAGTGTTTCTGGGTATAAATCTATTATCTGATATTGCCTGGTCATAGAAGTTGTTCAATCAACGATGAATTGTTCCTGGAGAAAATAACTTTCCCTCTTTCAATTATTTGTATGTTTTCTTTATAACATGTGTCATGTTAATATTTATTGTTCTCTTTTCAACTTGTATTTATATAATATTTAGCACTTTATTATTACAGTATTAAAATAATACATAAATCTGTGTTAGTTAATTGATTTATCTATATTTCATGTCTATATTTCCATGCACATAATTTAAAAACATGAGTATTGTAACTTTTAAAACCTTTATTCATAAGTACTTTATCTTATATACATATATATATATTTTTTCCCCTGTGGAAAGAAAAGGGCTAATTTCAGCCAGTAATTCACCCTTTGCTACAAGGGAGACATTTGAATAGTCTTGACTAGATCTGCTTATAAACATGCAAATATGATTTGCTAGCAGGGGATGTGGAGGTTTCTTCTTAGAATGACATAACTTGTCTGTCTAGATCACTTATTATAAATAAACCTACACGTTTATGTTGCTTGGCTGGCTGGAAAATAGGGAGTAAAATGTATTCTTCTACATGTGTAACTAATGAATTATATAAAAAGGAGTTCTCAAAACAAAATAGCTTTCTTTATAAACAATGTTTCTGCATACATAGTTTAGAACTTATCTATCTGAATCCAAAAACAATCTATAATATGGGAGAAATGATGTGTTTTGAAAACTATGTTTGATGGATTGACACTTCACCTGAAATTGTTACAACTGTACTTGATTCTGTCTTGTGTCCTCGAAGTCATTAGTAAAGTTTGACGTTGTATAACATATATAATTTTCAAAAATCAGCGTGGCAACTCAACCCTTTGTATTTACACACAACCTCACTGTGCCTAGCATAGTTTTGGTATACAGAATAAATTCAGAGACATTTCATTATTGATAGCTTATAATCTGATATAAAAGTAGAGCATTGACTTTTGTTCTCAATATTCCCTGCAATATATATTTATATATGTACAGATGTGTAACACCTATATTATAAAAGTATATAATATAACAAAGCAGGCATGATGGCACATGCCTGTAATCCCAGCATGTTGGGAGGCTGAGGCAGGTGGATTGCTTGAGGTCAGGAGTTCAATACTAGCCTGGCTAACATGGCGAAACCTCGTCTGTACTAAAAATGCAAAAATTAGCCCTTCATGGTGGTACAAGCTTGTAGTCCCAGCTACTGGAGAGGCTGAGGCACGAGAATCACTAGAACCTGGGAGGAAGAAGTTGCAGTGAGCCAATATTGTGCCACTGCACTCCAGCCTGGATGACAGAGCGAGATTCTGTCTCAAAAAAAATAAAATAAAGTATGTAATATAACATAAAACATTTTATAGTATTCTGCACGTAATCGATGGCACAGTTTTCAAACTGGGTGATGTTTTATACCCTGATATGTCATATGTGAGATAAACATATTTACTATGGTTAAAATTTTATAAATACCAAAATGTCTAACCTTAGCATTATTTCTAAAATAAGTAATTTATATTTAGTACACACTAGTCGAAGCTCACTGTTTTTCTGTGGTACTTGTTTTAGTGTGTGAGAAGTTTTTGCTCTCCCTTTTTCTCATACTTTTTAATAGAAAGTTCCAAAACCTGGGATTCTAGGAATTTTATGTCATTTTGGTTCAATACTATTCCGGATTCTAATATAATGGTCTGAAGTTTGATGCTGTTTGAAGAAGCTGGGGTTCATCTTGTGTGATGCTTTGAAAATGAGAAGAAAGCCCTTTCTTATATTTGAAAGTGTCCTGGCAATGAGCAAAGGGTAAAGAAAATCACTGCAGAATGCTGTTTGCTCAATTCAAAAGCCAGTCTGCTTTATGGGCCATTTTTATTCTTTGACTGGCTTCCCTGGAGAGATTCAAATAAAGAGGTTTGAAATATACCAGGTTGAAAGGCTGAATATGTCAAGAGTATGGATCACTGAAGCAAGATCTTCATCTTGCAGCTTAATTTTCTGGCTGGAGCACTTTACAAATGAACGAAGACATTCACGGTTACTGCCGATGCCTCAGACTCCAGGAACATCAATGAGTCTCTAAGGGGCTCAAAATATTTCACCACATTGAACATCAATGGGGAAGCCTCTTTTTAGCAGAACAGATGTTACAAACTTTACCAAAATTATGAATTCCTCCTATCAATAGTATACTTTTTTTTTTTTACATCTACAGCATGCGCTAAGGCAAGCAAGTTGTAAATGCATTTTCTTGAACATTTTATGCGACAGAGAAACCAGCAGTTTTAGAGCACAAAATACACTTTAAAATTGGCAATATTGAGCTGTGTATCCTTTGAATACTTCTATATTTTTTAATGTTATTCATTTTCCTGTGACCTCTTGAGCAGAAAGCACAAGAGCTGAACTCTGTGGAGCTTAGCATTTGAATTGATTCAGTAAGTATAAACTATAGTTATTTGTAGAGATCCAAAGTACTTTTTATTCAGAATTTATTGATGAGTAATAAATGCACTTTCCAACTCCACCAGCATGACTCTGGAATGGAGTAGATAATTAGAAGTTCAATGTAGGAAATTTAAAAGTCTTAGATTCACAGGAGAATTTAATCTCTCCTACACCAAAAACATTATTGCTCTGGAAAAGATGTAGGGCATTGGGAGTTTGACAGAAGGGTGGGTTCGAAGGACAGTTCCCCCAACCCACATACTAGAATGATGTCCTATTTACAAAGAAATCACCAGGCTTTGTAATGTAATTTACCAGGCTTTGCCTGACAAGGCCCCTTTGAATTGTAAAAATTGGTTTAAATAAATCCATAAAAATAAATATAACCCCAAAGACAGAGACCTTAGAATGGATGATGAACCACCAAAGATGAGAAACTGTACACAGATATAATTTTGATAGAAGTATCACAAAATAATTTATGAGAGTCAAAGAGTAAGTCATCTAAAGAAATGAACACGACCACACAGCAAGCTCTTTGTGAGCTCAGATATGAAAATGACATGGGAAAATGTAGGAAAAGAGACCCAAAGCAAAAGATGAATCTTTAAACATTAAACAACGTCTAATAATGATGGCAGGAAGACTAAAGGTAAAACATGCGGTGACAACAGCAAGACAGGAAATGGTTAGAAGAAAAAGCATAAGAAAGGATGAGTCTGCTCATGTGAGGTCAATGTCAAATGTTGACGAGGACAAAATAAGAAAGTAGAAGCCATTCATATTTTTCTACTTTATGAATGATCATTTCATTTATATATTTAGATATATATTTACATATTTTATTTTTTATTGTACACACACTATATACTAGACAAGATACAGAGTTCTATCTGGGAAGGAAAATGTTCACCCAACTGAAAAAATAGAACAAACATAAATAAAATAACTACATTTTAACTTTAATGACTAAAAAGCACATAACAACTTTTCAAGATTATCATTTTTTTACATTATTATTAACTTTTTTTTTTTTTTTTTTTTACTCTAAGTTCTGGGATACATGTGCAGAACATGCAGGTTTGTTACGTAGGTATACACATGCCATCGTGGTTTGCTGCACCCATCAACCTGTCATCTACATTAGGTATTTCTCCTAATGATATTTACAGCTAATATTTATTTAGCATATCCAAGATCTCAAATGTTACCTTTAATCTTCATTCCAAATTATAATCCAAAGTTGACAAATGAGAAAAGCTGAGCTAAATTAAATTTCTAAAGGGACTTAAATTAAATTTCTAGAATTTACATTTTCTTTAAAGCAAGAATCTAACAACTCCTTTTTTATTTTCGGGGGCTCCTCCGATCTGCTGCTTTTTTATTTTTATTTATTTATTTATTTTTTTGAGGCTTTCCTGTCACTATGGAAATATCAAGGCCCTTTTGGCAGCTGGAATGCAGACAGATCCAGCACAACCAAGTCACTTTTCCCACATGGAGATTCTGCAGAGTCTTCAGCAGAGACGCAAATTTGCAGATTTGGGTAATAAAGATCATAGCCTTAAACAAGACTTCCCTGATGTCTACCTTCTGCCCTGTACTTTTCACTTTTGTATCACACCATTTTTTAAATCACTTTAATGAAAAGTATTTGAACATTTTTTTTGTGTGTTTACTACATACAACTCTATAATGGAATCTCTATGACAAGAAGAGCTTTGTTTGTCTTTTTCTATGCTGTTTACCCAGTACCAAGAATAATGCCTATTATCTAGTGGCACTCCATATATATTTAGTGAATATATTTATGAATTATGAGAGAAAAGGCCATATTAAGAACTCCTTATTTGTATAAAAATAGTAAATTAAAAGCAACACCACAATCATGGAGAAATGTAAGATTACTGTCACCATAAAATTATTGAAAGATGCAGAAATGCTCATTCTAGCTGCAAAATATATTTTCTCTACAGTGGTTGATGAAATTTTTTTAAAAAATAAGTTGGATGTTACAGAAATAATTTTTGGCTTCTTATAGGGCCGCAGTGGAGAATGGGATACCAGAGGACCAGGTGACCTAAGCTGTCTCACTTGAATAAGGTATATCTGATATATCTAGCCAAAAGGTTGGGCTTGCCCAAAAAACTTTCATCATCATATATGGACAGGAGTAGTTTCGAGCAGATACTAAAGGTACAAATAAAGTAAGATTCAACTTCATTCACACTCCCTATCTATCTATATCCTGCCACACTGTAGCCCCTCTTCAGGACATAAATATGACCTCACACTCCCTATCTATCTATCTATATCCTGCCTCACTGTAGCCCCTCTTCAGGCCATAAATATGACCAGCCCAAATAAGAGGAAATAATTTAAGCTTGGCTTCCCAATGGCTCTGCATAATATGCTGTCACCAGCTATAAATGAAATGCAGCATGACATTTCTTTTAGGACTTTCTCTTGAAGAAAGAGAGTCAATCTCCTGCATGGCCATTTTGTCCACTTAAGGATGTATGGCTTTGTTCACTTATAAGGATGGATGTCTTAACATAGAGATATATTATGGTTTATGCTTGATGTCTAAGGTTTTGAGATGATGGTGTAAGTGGTCAGGGACTTAGAAGACTGAAATTAGACATTTGGTGACAAAGAAATTTTAGAAAGAAGTTTGAAACTGGATTCCATGAATGATCCTTGCTCCTGGCCATCATACCTATGCTAGCAACACCATCCTGGGAACACTAAATGCCTGATACACCACATATTCTCCAACACAAAAAAATATAATTATCTAGAAAAAATAAGTAAAGCAGAAAACTGATGCCTTAAGGAATTTGGGGTCTCATAATATACTGTGTATCATCCAGAGAGCTAGTATTATAGACTACTGAAATGACTTATTCATTGGTTAAAAATACATTTTAGATTGCATAGAAATATTTCTGTTCATAGTTACTTGAGTGTGATTATCAATAGTATACTCTTTCACTCATAAAACATAGTTATTTGGATGGCACATTATATCTAGCAAACCTATGTTTAGATGAACCTAGGAGACAACATTTTATATTACTCTGTAGAGTGGTACGTTTTACTGGAAGTCTACTGTGAACTCTTGCAGGCAAGAAAGGCCTATATAATGGCTTATTCTTTACTATTAAGATGCGGCTTGTTTTACTAGAGAAAGATGATCAACAATGTACTGCTAACAAATAAACAGGACATGTAATAAGCAACATCAAAATGAGAGAAAGGAAAGAGACAGAGAAAATGAGAGATATTTATTATGAGAAATTGGCTTATGCAATTATGGAGAGTGAGAAGTCCCACAGTCTGCCATCTGCAAGCTGGAAACTCAGAAAAGCAACTGGTGCAATTCAGTCTGAGACCAAAGGTGTGAGAATCAGGGGAGCTGATGTAAATCCAAGTCCAAGGGCAAGAGAAGAGGAGATATGTTTCAGCTCAAGCATGCAGGCAAGTATGCATTTTTCCTCTGACTATTTTACTCAAGCCCTCAAAAATTAGATGATGTCCTCTCATAATTGGGAAGTAAATAGACTTTATTGAGTCCACCAGTTCAAATACTAATCTCATCCAGAAACACTCTCACAGACACACCCAGAAATGTCTATTTGAGCACCCCATGGCTAGGCAAATGGACATATAAAATTAACCAACATAGTGAATAAATGTTAGTCCTCCAGAAAGGTGGAAATTGACTTTTTATCTGAAATGTATTAATTCTCACTTTCTATACAGGGAAAAAATTCTATTGAGCCTTCTTTTCCCAGTACAAAAGATAATTAAAATGGGGTTATATACTACATTGGCACTTATGGAGCAGGCATCTGATCTAATTTGGCAATAGTTGCTCCAACTCAATATTATGAATCTTGAACAAGTTTTGCAATCATGTAAGAACAAATTGATGTTAACTTACAATTGTGAGGTGCACCCTACCAGTAGTATACATCAACAGAATATTAAGTGGTAGCAACAATAGAAAATCATCATTCTAACAGGATATTCCTGGTGGCCTAAACTTGGCTGCCACTCCTGCTCCCATTCCACCTTCCCATGAATTCTTTGAACTACTAAATATTCCTTCAATAAATCAATTTTCTTCTTAAAATAGCCAGAATCTACCAGGCGCCGTGGCTTACACCTGTAATCCCAGCACTAGGTCGAGGAGGGCGGATCACTTGAGATCAGGAGTTCGTGGCCAGCCTGGCCAACATGGTGAAACCCTGTCTCTACTAAAAAATACAAAATTTAGCAGGGCATGGTGGCAGGCACCAGTAATCCCAGCTACTCAGGAGGCTGAGGCAGGAGAATCACTTGATCCTGGGAGGCAGAGGTTGCAATGAGCTGAGATCGCGCCATTGCACTCCAGCCTGGGCCACAAGAGAGAAAACTCTATCAAAAAACAAACAAACAAACAAACAAAAAAACAGAATCAGTTACTTTTTGTTTAGTCAAGAACTCTGATAGATATATCTGCATTTGAAAAATTGTAAAAATGTATACACAAAACTTTTCTAAGCAAAATGTTCACATAGTGTTTAAATAGTCTTACATGCAACAAGACCTAACAGTTTTGGCTGATCTAAGAATTAATACAAAGTAGAAATGTAATGTATCTTACAGAAAGTAGAGTAGAAGTACAATATGTGCTAATAAAAGGCAATGCTCAGAAAAAAATGTAAAAGCTATTCAGATTAGCATAAATTACTTCAAATAAGGGCTTTGTATTTTTAGATGTACTGTGTGTAGTTGTAAGACAAAAAACCAGGATCAGAGATTAGAAGTTACAGTTCTGAAGATTTCAGCTAAATACCATACCGAATATTTAATAAGCTTTTCAAAAATTGAATTATCTCACTTGGGAGACTATAGTGAAATCAGACTTTGTCCTAGATCTTATTCCCATATGTAACACTTATTGCCTATGTGATTTTCAGCAAATAACTTCTTTAAGATACAGCCCTTTCATTTATGTAATAAAAAACTATAAGACCAGAACCAGTCTTACCATTGTATTGGTTTCCTCATTTATGACTTAAATAAATCTTTGACATATGCTCACTCTATTTATTTGTGTAGGAATTTTTAACTTTTTAAAAATGATCCCTTGACAGTAAGATGTCCAAGCAGACTCACCTTCTGGAGCCAGTTCAACTGCGTGGCCCCAGAAAGTACACTTCATGGGCTGTTTGGGTCCAGGCATGTATATTCTTGGTTCTGAGAGTAAATTGCAAGGAGCAAAATAATTTTACTTCAGCTGTCTCTCTGATTCTCTGGGGTATTTTTCTTCCAATTCTGGGTTTTTATTTGTATTTCTTTTTTGGGGCCACGTTTAGCTTTGAGCCTGGACTGAACATGGTTTCCCCGTTGGTAGCAGCAGTGTTTGGGAATCAGATTTTTATTTTCTGATCATTTCATTTTGTTGTTTCTGTTGAGTAAAAGCAGGGCTTTATTCTTTGTCAGATAAGAAATGACTGAAGATTTGGTTTGTTAATTGTGTTGTGGTCTGCCTCTCTGTGAAGCAGATCACCTCCAAAGATGGTCATCAATAATTTTCCTACTTCCTTCTTCAAGAAGTGGAGTCTTACTATTTCCTTTTTTTGAATCTGAGCTGGTCTCGTGACTTGCTTTAAACAATAGTAGGTGACAGATTAACTGTACACTAATTCCAGGCCAAGTCCACGTGACAACTTTCACTTTTGCTGTATTAGAGCTATAATACAACATTTAAGAAGTCAAATTATGCTGCTCCTGAGGGAGATGCCAAGCCACATTTGTTCCAGCCATCTTGGCTTAGGCACCAGACATGCAAGCAGAGGCTTCTTGCACTTTCAAGCCTCAGACAAGTTCTTGGCTAAATGAGTGACCCCAGATAACAAAGAGTGATGATATAAAGGGTAATAGGGCAATCATTAGTGACATTAACATCATAATATGTGTATGGACAATTTGTTATTATCAATATATTATTTCCTGCTGGTTTTCTCATAATGTTTTTTCAAATTATATTCTTAATGATATTCATTAATTTATTTCCATTTGTATTGGAACAGCTGAATTAAATTCAGTGCATGTATACAATACAAAACTTGACATAATGCCTCTCTTGGATTTTACAAAAAGTCTTTTTACATTTTTAATGAGAACTTAATTTTTGTTCTTTTAAGAAGAGAGGAAAATTTTTACTATATATCTTTGTTTTTAACATTAAAATTGATGTATTTTGATGACTTCACACATGGAAAAATTAGGCCTAAAACAATTGTATTAATTTACAAATGTTTCATTTGAAATCTTTAGTATCTTTTTTTAATATTAATTTAGCCCTTAATTCAAGGAAGATATTAGAGGTATCAAATATATCTAATCAACACAGTTTCTACATAATAAGGTCATCAACTCTGCATGACTCTGGTACTAATAGTAGATGTTTTTATGCCTGTCAGTTTCTAATAAACCCTGCCTTTCTCCTGAGCTGTGATGAGCATACTTAACAGTACAGTTAAGAAAGGTGCTTGTTTCCCATTGATTGTGGATTTCTTTCCTTTCCAAATAATATATCACAATTTCTTTATAATATTTAATTTTCATTACAGTTCATGTGATATATATATATAATTCTCTCTTTAATCAGAGCTCAATCATGAGCCCTTGTTTAGATCATAGAAACAGACAAGACATTTTTCTATGTGGGATACAATGGCATTTCCACAGAGAGGCATCAGTCTTCTGATCTGTTTATTTGATTGCTTTAGCCCTTAACCAGAAAACATCTGGCAAAGTAAACCATTGTTGCAGCACTAAATCTGGAAGTTTTTGTTTTTAAGTTTCTTTTCATTCTGTGAAAAATTACTTTCTCTGGAAAGAAAAGAAAAAGCTATTACTATTAGAAAAGCATGACTACACATTGTGAATTTTTAAAATATTGATCACAAATTTCAACATGAATGTAGATGCCTACACTATTAGAATGCTTTTACTTGGTTTCAGTTTTCTAGTTTTTGTTAAAATATCTCCACCATCCCCACTTTAATTTTAGGTTATTCCAACTAGACATTGAGAAAGGCTGAAATTCTCATTTGACTACATTTTACTCACTTTGAAAACAAACAGATAATTGACTAATGTTCTGCTGAAACAGCAAAGGCATATTCATATACCTAAATTAATAGTGTTTGGCATATTTATCTTTTGACATACATAGTACAAATATATGGCCTTATATATAGTTATCTTTATCCTGTATCTTTACACATACACAGACACACACACACATATATACATATATATGCATAGTTGTATGTATAGACACACACAGATATAATCTCGGTATTCCTTTATATATATATAATTACTAAATATAATTTAGAAGGCATTGAATTGTACTGTAAAACCATGCCCTAGATTTCATTATTTAACATTATTTCATCATTAATTTAACAACCATTTCTTAAAATATATTTATTTGTGTCTCACATGCTTACATACATACATATGCTAGATATATGTGTATGTGTGTACATAAGCATGTTACATACAAACAAGTTGCTTAGAATCACATTTATAGCCAAAGAATGATTTCTCTGTGTTTTGGTAACACATTCCCTAATGTCTCTATTATTAGCTCCATTGGGACCAATTTAAAACTATCCACCCATGTTCTCATGGATTGAATAAGGCTATATATCATTGTTTAAATGTACTACTCAAAAAATTGGAATCCACGGGGAAAACATAGAAACACTAGGTAAACAAAAATCATCTTCCCAACCAATACTCTTTTCACAAAGTTTTAGAAACAATTTCTTCCTTCTAATTTATTTATGATGTTTAAGGTATTAAGAAAGAGGAGTCGGAAATTTAATTTTTATTTTTTACATTTTTTCTCTTGGGAAAATACTCAATATTCACACCATGAGATATGTTCTACTATAGCAAACCCAGGAAAAAGGAAAGGGAGATTTTATTTACTAAGCAGGTTCTATCTTATGCAAGTTACTGTGTTAATGTCTTTATATACATATAACCCTTGGCTCATAACAATACTGTGAATCTAGCTATACTCCTATTTTATTGAAGTAGTTGAAATTCCAATGTTATTTGAAACGCTTTCTATCTGGCTCCCAGAATTGCAATATCTTCATGAACAGAACTTGCTCATTCCTGCTTATTTACATCATTTCACAATCATGCCTTTTACAACTTATATGCATACGTTCCTTTACATATTTTACCCATTATTTAATTACTATTTCATATATGCAAAAATGTACTTCTCTCAGAACTTTATGCAGCTGCCAACTTTGATACAGATACATTACTCCAATTTTATTCTCTTTTCCTTTAAATTTTACTCCTGTCACTTACTACTTTGTGGAGTTATCATATGTATTCTTTTCATTTTATGCTTTCATTGTGTGTACTCCACAGTGGATTGTAAACAACCTTACAACAGGGACCATGTATAATTCACTGATGTGTATCAAGTGTCTAAAACTATGCTTGTAACAAAGTAAGAATTAATGAAATATTTGTGATTGACAGGATAAATAAAAGAGTGTGTAAATGAGTCCTAGGAACTGTGATAAATGAAATTACATTGTCTTTAACTCTGTAATGGTGTCTTGCTACCAGCTGGTAGGCAGAAATTTTCAGGAGCTCAAATTGCATAAACCCAGAAAGTTTTAAATTAAAGGTCACCATCTGGAATTATATGCACACATACTTAGTTCCAAAACACTGGTTTAGGGGAATTATTACTTTCCAGACTCATTCACTAATTCTCAAAATTGTTTATTTACCAAAAAGTAGAAGTTGTCACTGGAGAATTGTAAAAGGCCAATAGTTCCATCTTAATTGAAGACTGTGTCAAACTAAAATGATGCTCTGAGTATAAAAAACAAAATTATGCATTAATGTAATGTGTAACACACTAATTTTTAAAAATCATAATAAAGAAAAAACCTATCTAATTGTGTTGTTAAATGCTTATGATGAGCATAAAAATAAGCAAAATTAAATTATTTTATGAAATAAATAAAAACACGGAAGGCATAATCACCTAATAATGCGTGATGTGCAACAAAATTCGTTGTTATGTAATTTAACTATATTGTGTATATTTTATATTGATGTAGTTCTACACCATTCTTAAAGTACCATAACATCTATTGACACAGTTAATTCTCACATGAACATTTTGAATTAGATATAGAAGATATTTTCTTGTCCCATTTGTAATAAAAAATCAGTTTTAAAAGTACAAAGTTATTTCTCTAATTCATTCTTTGACAAACGTTAATTGAAAAATTAACCAAGTTCCAGGCAGTGAGTAAAACAGAAATATTTTCTCTTGCCATAGCATGTTTTGGCTATAATAGATGCATATTAGACAATAAATACACAAAGCTGTATTAAACAATATGACAAAAATAATAGCAAAAGGTTCATATAATTGGGGGAAACATCTCAACTGACAGTTCAGGGAAGGCTTTCTTGAGGAAGTAATATTTGAACTTAAACATAAAGAATCAGTAGAGATTACCTGGGAAGGAAAGACTGAAATAATTATTTACTCATTCCTGAAAAGGAATTAATAGATACAAATAGCCTAACATAGAAGGGAGCTGGCACTAAAATCTACATCTTTTAATTTATAATCCAATTTTGTTATACTATAATAAAGAGAGTGGTTGCAATTCACTTATTCTGAGAAAATAAACAAACTAATTAACAAAGTAGATGATATTCTAAACTAAGATACCTGTCTGGCTACTATAGCAAAGGACAAATAGCACTGGCAGAAAGCAGAGTATTGCAGAGGTCATGCCATGGGGCAATTACATGCCACTGATAGTGAAACCACTGAGCCTATTACTTCATCTATTGACTCAGCAGGTTATACAAACAGCATTTTCTAAGTGTGCCATAATGTGAAAAACAGTTGAATCAATGGATTAAACAAGATAGAGTTTTATTTCTTTCTTAAATAACAATCTAAGCACAATCTGACCAGAACTATTATTGCAGCACCACTGCGTCAGGGGTCCAGGACCAATTCATGTTTTGACACTGAAATCTCTACAGTGCTACCCCACAGGAATGGTCCAAGATGCTACATGACCATATCTGTTCTCTAAATTGTTTGAAGGCTCATGTCTTTCCAATAAAAGCATAGTAAAATAATTGAACACATCACTTCTGGCAATATCCCATTGGCCAGTAGATAACAAATGACCATGTTTAATTTCAAAAGAGTCTATAAAATATAGTCTTTCCTTTAGGTGTGCTTGTTCCCAGCTAAAATTAAAGGGTTTATATTGTTAATGGCCCCTTCATTTGACAAGAATTGTTGAGTGACTTCTAGGTGTCAGCACTTTTCTAAATACAGATACATTGGAGAGATACATAAGTAAACCGAATTAAGATTTCTACACTTATATTTACATTCTAATAGGAGAGGCAGGCAATAAGTAATAAATACTAAAATAAGTATATTAAGGTGTCTTTTCGTTCATAAATATTATGAAAATATAGAAAAAGGAAAGGGTATTGTAGTAGTAAGCTGGTAAATATTTCAAAACTAGCTCTGTAAAAGAATTCCTTACTTGTAGTGTTTTCCAATTTCCATGCAGGAAATACTTCCAATACGATCAATTTTAAGCTACCAATGTGATGTCAACAAACTTGTGAAATTTCTAAAATATTTGCAATCAACTATCATGAGCCTAAACAACTTGGCTCCAGCGTATCACTGGAATATATGGAAGGCATGATTTGGAATTGTAATGTGGTGATCGGGAGAATACATAACACAATAACATCTGAGCTTTGTGGATATATGAGAGATGAGTGTCCAGGGATGGAAACAGCCATTGCTAAGAAATGAGGATCTGGCATTTTTGAGGAATAGTAAACAAGCCAACAGGGCTGGTGCCAAGTAAATAAAGAGGAATCATGTTGGAAATGAAGTGAAAGAGGAAACTGAGGCCAGATCATGTACAGTTTGTTTATGCTTGGAAGAGTTTTGACTTTTAATGTTATTGAAATGGATAGCCAGCCACTGAGGAGATTTGAGCAAAGAATGGCATTCTCTTATCTTACAAATATTTAAAATGATTCATTTTTAATATATTTAACATATTTAACTATATTTCATGGTTGATTCAATATTTAATGGTTGATTCATTGAAAATAGACTATAGAGATCATGTAGAAGGAGGGAGGTAAGTTAAAAGGTTATTGAAATAATTCAGGCCAAAGATAAATTGGTCTAGGCTAGCGGAAGAGGATCAGGGTATATGAAAGAAAATCAGGACTCCATATATTTTGAAGGAAGAGGCAATAGGATGTCACAAATGATTCAAGTTTTTTATCTGACCAACTGCAAGGATGGACATAGCTCTTTGTGGTTTGACACATAAAAACTAAAAAACAAAAATCAAACTCATAGAAACAGAGGGTAGAATGATGGCTAGCAGGGGCCAGGTTTGGGGGAAGCCAGGATGAAGAAATGTTGGAGTGTACAAAGTTCTACAGCATGGTGAATATAATTAATAATAATGTACTGTATACTGGAAAAATGCTGACAAATTTTAAATGTACTCATCACAGAAAATGTCAAGGATGTGAGGTGACTGATATGTTAATTAATTTGATTTAATTATTCTATAATGTGTGCATATATCAAAACATCACATTGTATAACATGAGTATATAAAATTTTGTCAATTTAAAACATTTTATTGCAAAAAAAATTATTTTCTCTCCACTTACTTTTCATCCAACATACCATGGTAAAATAGAAATGTAACTACAGGAACAGCTCCCTTATGGGGTAGGGAATAATGGAAAACATATGGCAGGTTACTCATCTAAATCAGTTATCATATCTTTGGAGGAATTGCAGACATCTTTGGACAACAAAAGAACATTCCTGGGTTAGCTCATATCACAACCTCTGGTTCTGTTCATTGTAAAGCAAATAGAATCATCTGTCCATCATCCTTATTGCCCCCAACTTTGCCTGCTGGAGCTTCCTTCATTGGTTATTGTTCTCTATCTGCAAATCTGAATTGGCCAGTAAAGTGCATGCCCACCCTGAGACTTTATATCATTCCAAAACCTATCCAGTGAGTACAGTCTCTAGGCCATGGGAGTGATTTTAAGTGTCAAACAAGCAATGGCCTTTACAGGTTAGGCATACAATTTTATGGTGAATATAATCTTCTGGAAACATAGTGGACTTTGTATCCGTTTCTATTCAGTGCAATGAATGAAACACAGACATGGATATATTCTAAATGTAAGTATTAATCATGAAAAGTTTTATCTTACACTGCATTCTATCCATTCCTTGCTACACACTCCTTCATGGAGGTTACCTTGAGGCTATCTGAAATAAAAGCTTAGGTGCGATGGTAATAGCCATAATCCCAATTTTGTGGCTGAACTGCTTCCCATGGCCTGCCAAAGAGTTCTTCATGGTAGTTATTTAAATGCATGAGGCCACAGTCTCTCCTGTTTCCAAAGGTGCCTCTTCAGTCACCTCTTATCACCACTTTAGTTTGGTATACAAAAACCATTGGATTTTTCATCATTGTCAAGGCTCAAATTACCAGAATTTGGGTAAAATAGATTGCAGACTGAGGCCAAAACAATCTCCTTTTACAAAGCTGTATTCTCTGGTATCTCTTCTTTGAAACTCTAGGTTTTCTATGATGTTGTCTCTGCTGTCTTGCCGCAAATGTTAACAAGAAATCAACACTTCCAGTATTTTAATTTTTTCCTATTGGTTCCCCTTAAATTACAGGCTCCTTTGGCCTGTATTCTAACTTCTGAGATTCCCATTATTACAGAAAGTCTATTGGACAAATCTGGTAACAAATGGTTTGCTTTTACATAATCAGGGTAGCTGACCTTCTAGTCTACAACATCTGTGTCCTTGAGACACAGAAACACCATGCTGATGATTCCTTTTGAGACTTCGTAACAGCAACTCTACTTCTGGATCAAATGTTGTTTAAGTTTGTTTATAATTTCAAGTGATATAACAATATCAAGCTAAAAGTGGCTTTAAAAAGTTATATGTTTTTATTTCTTACAAAATAGTACAAGTGAAAATACTCCAGAGATAGGGACCCTGTCTTCTAACTTCTTGTTCTGTCATCCCTAGGATATTGCAATTGTTTATATACATCCATGAAGATTCCTGAGCAAAATGTTTCAATGTTGAAAGTAGAGGTTATATCCATTTTATTTAGGAATGCAATCTGAAAGTTGCACTTGCATTTCATTGGCCTGAACTCAAGCATCTGAGTATTTAAGACAATCAAATGTGACTGAAAAGTAGTCTCTATTTTTGATAGATAATTCCGTCTCTAATTTTAAGGTTATATTACTAAAATAATAATGTTAAAAACATAATCAATATTGGGTCATATCTCAAAATCTATGCTCAGGTTTCACATATTTTTCCTAGAGGCTAGGTAATTGTACATGTATTTTAAATATAATGCATGTAAAACCTAAGCCCTTAAAATAATGTTTTCACTTCAAGTTTAAGAGTTTAATCCAAAGTGTGAAATTGTTTACATTCTAAAACCCATTTCACAACTTTATACTATGTAACAATTATTGTATTATATTCTAACCCTGATTTTCTTCATCTGGTAATGAAAGTCATATTTTTACTCGCATTGGTTTATGAGAAGACTAAATAAAATAAAAATCGAATAATATTGAGTATGAATACTTATTATGTGCCAGACTTTAAGTGATTTCTATGCAGTAGTCATTTAGTCTTCCAAACAATTCTATATTTTAGACACAGCTGTTTTTCTTATTTTCCAAACAGATAAAGCAAGTCACAAATCCCGTCTTCACTTAAGGTTGCAGAGATAGTGGCTAAAGTGGCTAAACTTCTATAAATTCTGACTCCAGAACTCCCACTTTCATTTAATGCACTATGTAAACAATTTCGCACATTTCCTAAATATAATATGTGCCCTGTATGGTATGCTGAATAATCTCTCCCTCCTCACCAACATGTCCGTATCCTAACTTCTAGAACCTGTGAATATGTTAGGTTACATGGCAAGAGCGAATAAAGGTTGTAGTTGGGATTGAGATTGCTAATCAGATGATCTAACATAAGAAGTTATCCTTTAACATTGAGGGGTGGGCACGGTAATCTCAAATGTCTTTTAAATGTCAAAGAGTGAGGCAGAAGAGTCACATTCAAGAGTGATGCAATATAAGACTTGACCAGTCCATTTGCCTTTGAAGATGGAAGGAAGCTGTGAGCCAAGGAATGCAGGGAGCCTCTAGGAGCTGGAAAAAGATTGGAAACAAAAAGCATGGGGGCTTTTTGAGAGCCCCCAGAAAGAAGTGTGATCCTACCAACAAATTTGTGGTAACTGGTTAAAGCAGCCAGGGGAACTAAAATAGCATCTAAATTCACACATAAAATTAAGTTACACATTTTACTTTTTATGCTGTTTTGTTTTGGACAGAATGAATCACAAAATATTTCATTTTATATATGCATCTGTGACATTTTAAATAGAAAGTAATCTTGGACTATTAAAATTGTGCAGAATTAACACATGAAAGAAATATATGATATCCTTCCAAGGGCGATTTTGCCTTATCTTTGTGTTTTTATTGGTCTGTTGTAGGTTGATACATTTTTTTTTTAACATCTGGCAAATACTTTTGCTTTTTGTGGAGGGATGGTATACATTTTTAAATTTTATTTTTCATTGAGGTAAAATATACATATGAAATTGACCATCTTTATAATTTTCAGTTTATATTTCAGTGGTGATAAATACATTTATATTTTTTTCTTCCCTATATCTCCCTCTCCCCACTACTCTTCCCAGTCTCTGGTAATCATCATGCTGCTCTCTATCTTTATGAATCCACTTTAAGCTGCCACATATGAGTGAGAATATGTGGTATTTGACTTCTTGTGCTTGGTTTATTTCACTTAACATATGGCCTCCAGTTCCATCTATGTTGCTGCAAATGACAAGATTTTATTCTTTTATGTGACTGAATAATATTCCATTGTGTATGTATACCACATCTTCTCTATCCATTCATCTGTTGATGCTTATGTTGTTTTCATATCTTGGCTATTCTGAATAGCACAGGAGTGCAGTTCTATCTTCAACGAACTGATTTTATTTTTTGATGTATACCCAGTAGCAGAATTGCTGGATCATATGATAGTTCTAGTTTTAGGTTTTTGAGGAGCCTTCACACTGTTCTCCAAAGTGGCTGTACTAATTTACATTCCCACCAACAGTGTATGAGGATTCTCCTTTCTCCACATTCTTGCCAGCATCTATTATTGCCTGTGTCTTTCATTAATGGCATTTTGACTGGGTTTAGATGGTATCTCACTGTGGTTTTGATTTGCATTTCCATGATGATTAATGATGTTGAACATTTTAATATACACTTTATCCTTTTGTATGTCTTCTTTTGAGAAATATCTGTTCAGATGTTTTGTTCATTTTTTAATTAGTTTATTTTATTTTTTGCTATTAAGCTGTTTGTGCTTCTTACATATTCTGATTATTAATATCTTGTCAGATGGGTAGTTTGCAAATATTTTCTCCCATTCTATTCTTTGTCTTTTCACTTTGTTGATGGTTTCTTCTGCTGTGAAGAAGCTTTTTAGCTTGGTGCGGTCACATTTGTCCATTTTTGCTTGGTTGCCTGTGTTTTTGAGTTCTTATATACACAAAAAAAATATTTACCAAGACCAATGTCCTGGAGCGTTTCCACAATATTTTCTTCTAGTAGTTTCATATTTTCAGGTGTTCAATTTAGTTTTAAATTTGCTTTGCTTTTGTTTTCATGTGTGGTGAGAAATAGGGGATCTAGTTTTATTCTTCTGCATATGATTATCCAGTTTTCCCAGCACCATTTATTGAAAAGACTGCTCATTCCCCATTGTATGTTCTTGGTGCCTTTGTTGAAGATGAGCGTGGCTATAAATTCTTGGATTTTTATTTGGGTTCTATATTCTGTTCCATTGGTCTGTGTGTCTGTTTTTATACCAGTACTACGCTGTTTTGTTTATGGAGCTTTGTAGTCAACTTTGAAGTCAGATAATATGATGCCTCCAGCTTTGTTCTTTTTTTGTTTAGGATTGCTTTGGTTATTTGGGGTCTTTTGTGGTTTTATATAAAGTTAGTACTTTTTACTTTTATGAAGAATGTCATTCTTTGGTGTTTTGAGAGGGATTGCACTGAATCCTTAAATTACCTTGGGTAGGATTGTCATTTTAACAATATTAATACTTCCAATATATGAGCAGGGAATATCTTTTCTTTTTTGTGTGTCCTCTTTAATTTGTTTCATCAGAGTTTCATAGTTTTCCTTGCATATATCTTCCACTTATTTGGTTAGATTGATTTCTTAGTACTTTATATTCTTGTAGCTATTGTAAATGTAATTGCTTTCTTGATTTTATTTACAGATTTTTCACTGTTGGCATACAAAAATGCTACAGATTTTTTAATGCTGATTTTGTATACTGCAACTTTACTGAATTTGTTTATCATTTCTAACAGTTTTTTAGTATAATCTTTAGGATTTTCTAAATATAAGATCATATCATCTGTGAACAAGGCTAATTTGACTTCTCCATTTCCTGTATTCTTATTTGCATGCTCTTTATATTGTCTTCAGGTATGCTCCTTCTATACGCATTTGGATGAGAGTTTTTATCATAAAGTTATGTTTAATTTTTAACATATGCTTTTTTGTCATTGATTGAAATAATCATTCTTCTTGATTCTGCTTAATGTGATAGATCACATTTTTTATTTGCATATGTTTAACCATCCTTGCATCCTGGGATGAATTCGACTTGTTCATGGTGAATGGTCTTTTTAATGTAATATTGAATTCAGTTTGCTAGTATTTTTTTAAAAAATTTTTTTGCATTTATATCAAGAGTGACATTGGCTGGTAGTATTTTGCTGTTGTTGCTGTGTCCTTATCTAGGTTTGATATCACGGTAATGCTGACCTTGTGGAATGAATTTGAAAGTATTCTCTCTCTTCAATTTTTTTGAAAAGCTTAAGCGTGATTAGTATTACTTCTTTAAATATTTGGTAGAATTCAACAGTGAATCTATTCAGTCCTGAGCTTTCCTTTGATTGGAGACTTTGTTTTATTACAGCTTCAATCTCATTACTTCTTATTGATTTGTTGAGGTTTTCTATTTCTTCATGGTTCAATCTTGGTACATTGTGTGTCCAGGAATGCATCCATTTCTTCTAGATTTTCCAATTTGTTGGCATATAATTGTTCAATATAGTCTCTAATGAATGAATCTTTTTATGTCTGAGGTCTCAGTTGTTAGGTCTCCTTTTTTGTTTCTAATTTTATTTATTGGGGTCATCTTTGTCTCTTAGTGTAGCTCAAGGTTTATCAATTTTGTTTTTATTTTCAAATAAACAACTTACTATTTCCCTGATCTTCTGTATTATTGTGATCTCAATTTCATTTATTTCTGTTTTGAACTGTATTTTTTTCCCGTAACTAATTTTGGTTTAGTATGTTCTTGCTTTTCTAGTTCTTCAAAATACATTGTTAGGTTTTTTATTTGAAGTCTTGCTACTTTTTTGGTATAGGATTTATTGTTATAAACTTTCCTCTTAGTAGTGCTTTTGCTGTATCACATAGAATTTTGGCACGTTTTGTCTTCACTTTCAGTCTGTGTCTCCAAGAAATTTGCTTCACCTATATTGACACACATAGACTAAAAGTGAGGGGGTAGAAAAAGTATTCCATGCAAATGAAAAAAAAAAGAGTAGGAGTACCTATACTTACATAAGATAATATGGAATACAAATCTAAGATTGCCAAAAGAGACAAAGAAGATAAGTTTAGAGTGATAAAAGGGTCAATTCAGCAAGGGGATATAGCAATTATAAATATTTATGCACCTAACACCAGAGCTTCCAAGTATATAAAGCAAACATTAATAAGTCTAAAGAGAAAGAGAAACTGCAATACAATAGTAGTAGACAACTATAACATCCCACCATCAGTGATGGACAGATAGATCATTCGTAGAGAAATTCAACAAAGAAGCAGCAGAGTTAAGTTGCCGATACTCTTTTAAAACTTTTAGGATGTTTTTCATATGTTGTTTCATTCTTATACCCATCTATAATCACTTTAATTATACTTATGTTCATTTTTCCCTTGTGAAGAATTTTCAAAAGTTTGTTTTTCCTATTTCATTAGTCAGTTCGAAGAAATAATTTTTGAATTTATTGATCATGTCTACTTTTCTTGGCTTCATTGTAAATTACTTTGAGCTTTCATCTTTATTAATTTCTTACTCCCACTGCCCTAGTTTATGAAGCTGTTATACTAACTTCTCCAATAAAATGTTGAGGTCATATATGACCAATATTTCCAGCTTTGACATAAACTTATTTAAGGCTATTGAATTTTGGGTCTTTGTTTTGGTTGTCTCTACAGGTGTATTGAAAAGAGTGCTTTCATTTTTAGATAAACTTAGTACAATTTTAGACACAGAAAATGTCTGAAGATGGTATAGAGTCCCATATAGATCAACCTAATTTCAGCCATTAAAATCTGTAGTATACTTGTTACAATTAATAAAAATTATTGATAAATTATTATTAAAATTTATACTTTATTCATTTTTTCTTTGTTTACTTCATGTTTTTGTTGTTGTTTTAGGATCCCATCCAGGATACCACATTATATTATTAGTCATGTTTTCTTAGGCTTCTTTTGACTATGGCAGTTTCTCCGACTTCTCTTGGTTTTGATGAGCTTGACAATTTTAAGGAGTATTGGTCCAATATTTTGTAGAAGGTCCCTCACTGGAAGTTTTCTGATGTCTTTATCATGAATAGCTATTTTCATCATAGCATATCAAGCGTGTATACTATCAGCATGGTTTATTATTGTTAATGCAAACTTTGGTCACCTGGCTGATGTAGTGTTTAAGTTTTTCCATGGTAAAATTACTGTTTTGTTTCTTTTTTTCATACTTAGCCCTTTGGAAGTAAGTCACGGTGCACAGTCTACACTCAAGGAGTGGAGAATTGTCTACAAGATTCATGTGGGCAGAATAAGCAACATAAAGTATTTAGAATTATTCTGTATGAGAGATTTGTTTATTCTTCCCCATTTATTTATTCATTTATTTTTACCAATATGAACTCATGGATATTTATTTTATACTTTGGATTATAATCCAATATTAAATTTTGTTGTTCAAGTTTTGCCAACTGGAAGTTCTTTCAGTTGCCTTGTGTCCCTTTGGCACAGCACCATAATTGTCTTTTCTTTGGGGGGATATCTTCATTAATTTCTGTGACTACAGGCAGATCGTTATAATTCCTATCTGAGTACTAGAATCAGCTCATTCTCCAAGGAGCCTTGGTTTCATTTATTGGAGAATAAGAAACAAAGATCTGAGTGCTATGTGTACTCATTGATACTGGGATATTATTGCTTCTAGACCCTCTCAGTTGACAGAGGAAGGAAACATATGTGTGTATACTGTCATGTATATACACATATTTATAAATACTTCTGTATACAATAATCTATAGCCCTATTTAGCTAAACATGAGCTCATAATGATGTCCAACTCCAATACATTACCACACGAATCATTTTACCTTCTTCTTTTGCTTATCTGATACCTTCCCAACAGTGAGAAATCTAGCTTCCATTATCAGTTATCCCATTTACAAAATTATGCGATTCTAGAATGTATATATAGCAATATCCAAACTTTTAACCTGTATTCTCTTGGGGATAACTTTACTAACAAGATTAAATGCATATGTAGTTTATTTTGGTTTTCCTTTTTTTATGATTGACATAATAATTTATACATATATATGTGGTACAACATATTTCAATATATGTCTATATACATTGTTTAATGATTAAATCAAGATAATTAGCATATCTATCATCCTAAACTTGTATGATTTATTTTTGATGAGAACATTCAAAAGCCTCTCTCCTAGCTGTTTTGAAATATGCAATACATTATTGTTAATTATAGTCATCATAGTGAGGCAGGAGGATGGGGAGAGATTGATCAATGGGTACAAAGCTCTCACTGCCTGGCTTCTCAAGGGCACTTGCTCGGATCTCAGAGCAGGGATGGTGCTGAACCTGGGCGCTGTCACAGCCCTGCTGGGTGTGCACTCTTGGGGCACTACTGACATGCCAGCCCCCTACCGCCTGGGTCCCCTCTGGAATTTGAGCACTGAGGAGCTTGAGTGGGGAAGCTGAGGGGCAGGTGGAGGGTGGCTTTGTGATGGCCTGAAGGTACCCCTTGGTGCCAGCAGTGTGGGCATGATGAACGGCTGTAGGAGGTAGGCAGGCTTCTGGGTGGAAGTGGGTGTGTCCCCAGTGACGCCCCACTTCAGGCCAGGGCAGGCCTGAAACCTGGGGGCTGTGCTGCTAGTCCTGCAGACTAGAGAGGGAACTCGTTGTGCTTTTTCCTGGCCCCACTCCATGGCTGCCCATGGAACAATTAGCACACGCTTCCTGCTCTGAAGACCACAACAGCCCCAGGTGCATCCCGAGCAGAGCAGAGGATGGTACAACCCACTGCAGAGAGGAGCTACCCTCTCCAGGGCCTCCTCTCTACTGAGAGCTGAACACTCGACAGAACGACCTGCCTACACAGTGGAGCTACCCACTGTGGGTCCGCTCTGAGCTGTTCTAACACTCAATAAAGCTCCTCTTTGTCTTGTTCACCCTCCACTTGTCTGCTTACCTCATTCCTCCTGGATGCAAGACAAGAGCTTGGACAAAGGTGCCACCAGCCACAGAGGTTTGTGGCCAGAAAATCGATGCCCCAAAGATCCTGCAACACTTACTTGCTGTCTGTATATTTTCTTTGGTGAGGTGTGTGTTCAGATTTTTGCCTATTTTTGTAATGTGGTTCTTTCTTACTGTTGTGTTATAACATTTTTTGCATTTTTTAGAGAAAAGTCTTTAATCAGATATGTTTTCTGCAAATATTTCCTCTCTGTGGCTTTTTGTTTTCTTAGTGGTGTGTTTTGCACAGTGACCTATGAAATTTTAATGAAATCTACTTACCAAATTATTTTTCATGGATTGTGCTTTCAGTATTACATCTGAAAACTCGTACCAAACCCCCAAATTACATAGATTTTTCTCTTACATTTTATTCTAGAGGTTTCCATAGTTTTGTATTTTTCTTTCAGGTCTATGGGTCCAATTTGAATGGATTATTGTGAATGTTGTAAGTCCTGTGATATATTTTTTATTTATTTTTCCCTTTTTATATAGGCATCCAATTATTCTAGCATTATCTGTTGTAATATATATTCTTTCTTTTTTAATCACTTTTGCTTTTTATCAAAAATCCTTTGACTATGTTTGTGTGTTTCTGTTTCTATGCTCTCTATTCTGTACCATCGGTTTATGTCTATTATTTCACCAATATCATGCCGTCTTGATTATCTTTAGTAAGTAATTTTGGTAACATTATAGAAAGCCTTAAAATCATGTACAGTAGGTCCTCAAACTATTTTCTTCTGCAGTATTGTTTTGACTATTTTAGAACATTTGTCTTTCCATATAAAATTTAGTCAGTTTGTTAATATCTAAAAAAATAGCTTGTTGTGATTTTTACTGAAATGGCATTGAATCTATCAGGTTAGGGGAACTTTTCATCTTAAAAACATTCCATCTTCCAAAACATGAGCATAGATTATTATATTTATAATTTTTATTTATTTTCCCCTAATTTTGTAGTTTTCTGCATTCTGTACATATTTTGTTAGATTTATATGGAGGCATTTTAATGCTATTGTAATTACTTATTAATTTTAAATTCCAATTGTTCATTGCAACTACATAACAAAGTAGTTGACTTTTGTATATTAACTATATCCCATGACCTTGCCATGCTCACTTAATAGTTCCATTTCCAGAAAGTGTTTTAGTATGTTTATTGGTCGGTTTTGTTTCATTTTTGATTCTTTAAGATTTTATTCATGGAGAATCATACCATCTACAAATAAGGACAGGTTCATTTTTTCCTCTGCAATCTGTCATTTTTATATTCTCATCATATTGTATCAGTTAGGGTTTCTAGTATAATACTGAACAGGAGCAGTGAGGAAGAAGAACATTGTCTTTCCCAGACTAAGAAGCAAAGTATCCAGTTTCTAACCATTAAATGTGGTTTCTAGTTTCTCACCATTAAATAGGATGATATTGCTGTAAGTTTTTTTATGTTCTTTAAAATCTGAGGACATTCCTTTCTACTCCTATTTTTCTGAGTTTTTTGTCATTAATTGCTGTTGGATTTTGACAAATGCTTTTCCAATATAAGTTGTTATGATCACAAGATTCTTCATCTTTATCCACTTATATCATAAATTACATCAATTGATTTCTGAATGTTTAACCATCCTTACATATCTGGAATAAATACCCTTTAGGACATAATTTATATTTGCTATGTATTGTTGGATTTAATTTGCTAATATTTTGTGAGGGATTTTTGCATCTATCTTCCTGAGAGATTTTGCTGTGTATTTTTTGTCTTGTAATGTTTTTATCTGCTTTGAATGTGAGGATAATACTGGCCTTAGAGAATGAGTTTCTACTTTATTGGATTGGTTGTGGATAATTTGTATCATTTAATCCTTGAATATTTGGCGGAATTCACCAGTGGCAACATCTGTGTCTTCGTCCATTTGGGCTGCTATAACAAAGTATCATATACTGGATAGCTTATAAACAACAAAAATTTATTTCTCATAGTTCTCATAGAGGTGGGGAGTCCAAGATCAAGGAGGTTTCGGATTCTGTGTCTGATGAGGGCCTGCCTCCTGGTTGGTAGATGGCTGTCTTTTTTACATGACCTAATCACTTCTCAATGGCCTTACGTCCTAATGTCATCACCTTGGGATGAGGATTTCAATATATGAATTTGGAAGGTGGTGAGGAGACAAAAATATTCAGACCATAGCAATGTGGGAAGGTGCTTTCCTTTTGGAAGTTTATTAATTATTGGATCAATTATTTTAACAGATACTGTCCTATTCATATTTTCTATTTCTCCTTCTATAAAGTTTGGCAATTGTGTCTTTCAATAAATTGGTTCATGTCATCTAAGTTATCAAATCTGTGGATGTACAGTTGTTTATACTATTCCTTTATAATTCTTTTAATGTCTATGGGATAAGTAGTGATAAAGTTATTTCATGTTTTACATTGCTAAATTGTGTCCTTTTTTTTTCTTGCTTAGCTTGGCTAGAGGCTTCGTAATTTTAATGATCTTTCTGAAAAACTAGTTTTTGGGTTACTTGATTTTCCCTATTGTATCACTGTTTTCTAATTTATTGACTTTCATTTTAATTTTCATTCTTTCTTTTCTTCTGCTTGTCCTAGGTTTAAATTTTTCTTCTTTCTTTAGTTTCCTAAGGTGTAAACTTAAGTTATTTATTTTAGCTTCTTATCACATATACACATATATACATACACACACACACACACACACACACACACACACACATTGATATGGTTTGGATCTATGTCCCCACCAAATTTCACGTTGCATTGTAATCCCATGTTGGAGGTAGGGTCTAGTGGGAGGTGACTGGCTCATGGAGGTGTTCTCATGATTGGGTTAGTACCATCCCCTTGGTGCTGCTTTTGTGATAGTGAATGAGTGAGTTATCCTGAGACTTGGTTGTTTATAAGTGTGTAGCACCCCCACCCCCTTCCTCCTGCTCCAGCAATGTAAGACACCTGCTCTTGCTTTGCCTTTGGCCATGATTAAAATCTCCCTCAGCCTTCCCAGAAGCAGATGCTGCCATACTTCCTGTACAGCCTGCAGAACCATGAGTCAACTCAATCTCTTTATTTATAAATTACCAGTCTCAGGTATTTTTTTATAGCAGTGTGAGTATGGACTAATACAGACATATGCTAAATGTTTCCTTTTTTATTGCACTGTTTTTGCTATATTCCTACAATTTTTGCTAAGTTGTATTTCCATTTTCATTTAGTCCAAAATATTTTTAAATTCCTCCTGACACTTCTTCTTGACACATGCACCACTTAGAATTATAGTGTTTAATCTGCATATTTAGAAATTTTTTCAGATATCTTTACGTTGCTCATTTTTAATTTAATTCCGTGGTGGGCTGAGAACATACTTTGCATGTTTTCTAATTTTTTTAAGTTTACTAAGGTGTATTTTGTAGCCCACGTAGCTGTCTATCTTGGTGAATGTCCCATATATGTATGAGGAAAATGTAGATTCTGTAGTCATTGGATAGGGAGTATCCTGTCAATTAAATCCTGTTGATTGATATTGGAATTGCTATTAAAGTTAACTATATCCTCATTGATATTCAGCATGTTTGATCTATCAATACCTGAAACAGAGATACCAGAAGTTTCCAACTTGGATAGTAGGTTTGTACCCTTTTCCTGTCTATTCTATCAGTTTTTGCCTCACATGTTTTGACACTGTTGTTAACTGCAAACAAGTTTAAGATTGTTATGTCTTTGGAGAGAATTGACACCTTTATCATTTTGTAATGCCAGATTTTATCACTGATAATCTTCCTTACTCTAAAGTCTGTTTTATCTGAAATTAATATAGCTACTTCAGCTTGCTTTGATTAGTGTTAACATGATAAATATTTATTTATCCTTTTACTTTTAAGCTATTTAGGTTTTATACTGAACTTTTTTTATGTATACAATATATGATTTGGTCTTGGATTTTTTTTAAATCTGCTTTGACGATTTCCATCTTTTACCTTAAGTATTTAAGTGCTTCACATTTAAAGGGTTATTAATATAATTGGATTATTATCTACCATGTATGTAATTGCTTTTTATTCATTGCATTTTCTTGGTTTCTCTTCTCCTCCTTCCCCCCCCCGCCCTTTTATTCTCTGTGTTTCTTTTCCTTTCTTTCTTTTTTTTTTTTTAACAGAATCTCTCTGTGTCACCCAGGCTAGAGGGCAGTGGTTTAATCTTGGCACACTGCCGCCTTGAACCCCCCGGGCTCAGGTGATCCTCCCACCTCAGCTGTAGTAGGCATATGCTAACATGCCTGGCTAATTTTTGTATTTTTTATAGAGACAGAGATTCATCATGTTGCCCAGGCTGGTCTGGGACTCCTGAAAGTTCCACCTGCCAGGGATTTCCAAAGTGCTGGGATTAAAAACATGAACCACCGCACTCAGCCTTCTCTGGTTTTAATTGAACATTTTGTATGTTTAATTTTATCTCTATTTTGTATACCATTACTTCTTTGAAGCAATTTTTTAGTGTTGGCCCTGGAGTTTGCAATACAAAATTTTAAATAATCTATGCATAACTTAAAGTAACACTGGTCTGATCCATGTATAATGATAACTTTATAACATAGTATTCCCAGTTCCTCTATTTTGTATTTTTTTCTGCTATTTCCAGAAAATTTAATTTTATCTTTCTTGAATTTCTTGAAATTATATTGCTAGGTTTATAAAGATTTATCATTAATAGGTTTTTAGTGGATATTTCTCTATATAACATACCATTTTTGTACCATTTAATGTACTTGCATTGTACTATATTTAGTAAAGGGAAATTTTTATAAGGGAAATTTATAGCATTTCAATATCAGAAATATATGCTTTAGTAGCATTATCGTGTTGTTTTGTGTTTTCTATTTATTTTTATTGTCTTGTCTTTCTCTTCTCATTGTCTTTATTGAGTTTATTCTGTTTTTTGTTTGTTTTCATTCTAGGGCTTTGGAATCTAAATCTGTTTCTTTCATTTAATAGATAATATTAAATATGTAAGAGCTGTATTTAGCTTCTGCCTTTCTATTACAATAAGAAGGATATAGTGTCTACAGTGTCTTTACCCAGAACAAGACAGGACTTATAGCAATACAGAATATTTTGTTGAATATGAATATGAGAATATGAATTCTCAGTTTTCATCACTTTTATTTGACACATTGCATCTTTTTGGACGAGTTTCTTAATTACATTAAGCTTCACAGACACCTCATTAATATTTTAGGACTGATTATACGCTTTACTGATTCTTTTCTCATATTGATTATGTGTGTGTGTGTGTGTGATGTATATCTTATTCTTTTTATCTCAAGTGATCCTTTTAGGATATGGCTTATGTTCTTGAATGCTAACCATCCTCAATCTTTGTCTCAAATAGTCTTTATTTTGCCTTTGCACTTTAATGATCATTTTGCTAAACCTAGAATTCTAGGAGCAAAAGAATATTTTCTCAAAACTTTTGGGGTATTCTTGACGCAGTGTTTGAGGACAATATAATACTTTTTCCTGTTGTTGGTAGTCTTTTTGTTTTTCTCTGAAACTTCTAAAAAAATTTATCTGGGTATTATAATACTTCATCAGATGTTTCTGAGTATAGATGTTGTATATTTATTCTTCTTGAACAACTCTTTCATCCTAAAAACATGAACATGACCTTTTTCCTATTATTGCTTTGATCATTTCTTCCTTTTTTTTTCAATCTCTATTATTTCCTTTTTTTTTTTTTTTTTTTTTTTTTTTGAGACAGAGTCTTGCTCTGTCACCCAGGCTGGAGTGCAGTGGCGCGATCTCAGCTCACTGCAAGCTGTGCCTCCTGGATTCACACCATTCTCCTGCCTCAGCCTCCTGAGTAGCTAGGACTACAGGCGCCCACCACCATGCCCGGCTAATTTTTTGTATTTTTTGGTAGAGATGGGTTTTCACCGTGTTAGCCAGGATGGTCTTGATCTCCTGACCTCATGATCCACCCGCCTCAGCCTCCCAAGGTGCTGGGATCACAGGCATGAGCCACCGCACCCGACCTGTTATTTGCTTTTAGAAGTTCTAGTACAGAAATTTTGTAACTTCACCTTCTACTCACAAAATATCTAACTTTTCTTTATAACTTAGCTTTCTTGTGTTTACTACATGATAGAGAATATATTTGACCTTTTAGTTCAGTAATTTATCCTTTTTTTAAATTTAGTTTTATTTTAGATTGAGGGGAACACTTGCAGGTTCATTACATGCATATATTGAGTAAAGGTGGACTTTGTGCTTCTCGTGTATCCACCACCCATATAGTGTCTATTGTGCCCAGTAGGTAATTTTTCTTTAATAACAGTAAAGTTTTGCTTATTTGTTGTATTATTATTATTGCAGTAGTTTTATTTATAATTGCAGAGAACTTTTGGTGTCTTCCTCAATTTTCAGTGTCAGAGTAGCAAATTAACTGGGGCATAGTCCAAACTTCTGAGATCCTTGGAGGGAAATATCACAGTGGCCTTGGAATATGTCTTTTGAGAAGATTAGCATGAGCACTGAACTATAACAAAAGCAAGCCATGACAGGTCATGTGCTGGTACATGAGCCAGGCATTGATATTTTAGTTTCTCGATCCTGGGACTGTTCAAGAAACTAATTAATCCTTTAGTTTCTTGACACATACAATGCTATGTGTGTATCAGTTAAATAGAAGCTTTGACTAACAGTTAATATAAATTCTATTAACTAAAGCCTTAATTTGGGGGTTAACATGTGGAGAGGGAGTATAATTAGAAGTAGAGCAAAAAGAAAATGGGCCAGGTGCGGTGGCTTATGCCTGTAATCCCAGCACATTGGGAGGCCAAGACGGATGGATTGCTTGAGGTCAGGAGTTCGAGGCCAGCCTGACCAACATGGTGAAACCCCATCTCTATTAAAAATACAAAAATTAGCTGGGCATGGTGGCATGCACCTGTAATCCCACCTGTAATCCTCAGCACAGGAGGCCGAGGCAGGAGAATCACTTGAACCCAGAAGGCAGAGGTTGCAGTGAGCTGAGATTGTGCCACTGCACTCCAGCCTGGGTGACAGAGCAAGGCTTTGTCTCGAAAAAAAAAAAAGGGATAAACAGGCTTTGTTAGTGGTGAAGTCTAAGCAAGGGATAAACAGGCTTTGTTAGTGGTGAAGTCTAACTAGTTCTCTCTTTTGGGTCAGCTTTCATGACTTATTTGACCAATAGAATGGGCAGAAGTCCCTTCTGAGACATCCGCACCTAAATCCTAAGAAGTATTGCTGCTTCCCTCTGGTCCTCTGGAAAGTACACGCTGTCTATTCTAAGAACTTCGTACTGTGATAAAGCCATAATGAGTGGTTTTAAGATGGAGAAACGGAGATTCCTGAACAGCTTTTACTGTTCTAAACAAACCAGATCAGGTATAAGACATGTGAGTACAAAAGCCTTTATACAAACCCAGTCTTGACAACTATCCAACTACAAGTACACACAAAACTCAGGGTGGGAACTTGATTTAGTTGCTTCTTTCTTGGTTAAGTTATTTATTTTTTTAAAGCATGGCCTAAAACAATTTCATAAAATAAGGCATAGCATTATGCTTCCCATGACAAATAGTCAATATTCTTCCTCAGAACTGTATAAGGTTTTGTTTATTGAATGTCTGTTATCCAGTTTACTGATGAAAAATCTGATGCTGGGCAGTTTCTCAGGCCTTCATGAGTGACCTCATTCAATAAATTTTTGGAAGCTTTTAGGGTCATCTTTGTATTTTTGATATTGTAAATTTTTACCATCTGTAGCCTTGCATGTTTTATTTTTTGGATTGTATATCTGATGATTCTTTTGTCCTAAATTTTTGTGTATTTTTCCTGTTAAATGATCTTGTATTACATTTTTGTAATATTTTCCTCATCATTATTCTGTTTCCTTTTAATGCTTAATCTTTTAGATTTATTTTCTCAGTCTCACCTTATCTTAGTTTTCATATCTTTGATATCATTCCACTTTTTCAGTTTCCCCTCAAATGTCTGCCAATCCTTAACTCTTCATTCACATTTTAAATTATATGAACAAAATTCTGGTCTGGAGTCTGTGAGTACATAGGATAAGAGTTTTGTTAACTGGTGTGCCTCACAACTGTGGTGGTTGGAATGAGTGATCGGTATGTTGGAAGACATATAATGTGAAAATATGGAGCTATTTGCTTTAGGGGTCAAGGAGTATACAAACTTTTTTTCCAAGGTCGTTAATCCAATTTCTTTAGATACGTTTTTTAGCCTGGTGTTTAGAAGCTTAGCCCTCAGACACACTACTCATAGAGATGTGACAATAAGGTTGGAATAATCAGTTCTCATACAGATTTTCAATAAATCCATTGGTTACTTGCTGCCCTCTCTTAGTCTTGGAGCTTCTGAGACCCTGACCTCTCTGAGGTTCTTCAGGAAAAATTGCAACTCCTTTAGTCACAGTTCCTTCCATGCATACCCCAGTTGTTGCCTCCTCTAACTTGGTGTAGTCAGGGAAGTTGCACATCTGACTGCAGAACCGGAGCATGACTGGAGGATCCTTGATCTGCTGACTGTCTCCTAAATATTCGACACAATCTCCCTCTTGTTGATGGTTCCCATGCTCCCCTTTGTTCTATGTTTAGCCTCCTTCTTTGTTTCTTTTTCTACTCTTTTAATGAGGACTTGAAATACAGAAGATATAAATGTATGTAATAATTCTTCCGTGTTTGACTTAAAGTATCTTATAATATTTTTCTTTTACCTTCATTTATTATTTTTCTTATGCTTTGCCTTTATCTTGATCCAAATTTCTGCGCTGTATCATTTTTCTTTTTGAATAATTTTTTTAAAAAGTATGTCATGCAGGGCAAGTTTACATCAGTTTTTTTTTTTTTTAAATACTTCATAATATCACTGTATACAGAACTCTAGGTTGGTGGGTTTTACTTCTTTCCACAGCTAAAATATCCCACTCTACTCTCTCCTTGCTTTCATGGTTTCTGAGGACTGGCATATGTAATTCTTTTTTTTTTTTTTTTTTTTTCAGTTGGAGTCTCGCTCTGATGCCAGGCTGGAGCACAGTGGCATATCCAGCTCACTGCAACCTCCACCTCCCAGGTTCAAGCAATTCTCCTGCCTCAGCTTCCCGAGTAGCTGGGACTACAGGCATACCCCACCACGCCCAGCTAATTTTTGTATTTTTAGTAGAGACGGGTTTCAGGGTTTCACCATGTTGGCCAGGATGGTCTCGATCTCTTGACCTTGTGATCCGCCCACCTTGGCCTCCCAAAGTGCTGGAATTACAGGCATGAGCCACTGTGCTCAGCCAGGCATACATAATTCTTATATTTTTTTCCTCTGTAGGTAAGATCTCCCACAGTGTCTGGCATCCTTCAAGATTTTTGTCTTAGATTTGCTTTCCTGAAATTTGGATATGATATGTTTCGGAGTATATTTTGGGAAGTATTTATTCTGCTCTTTCTTGAGGTACCTGGATTTATTATTAAAATTATCAGTCAACATTACTTCAATTATTTCTTCTGTTCCTTTCTTTCTTTAATTCTCTTTACAGTACTCCTATAACACCTATGTTACACCTGTTGCAACTGACCCACAGTTGTTGGATGCACTTTACTGTATTGTATTGCTTTGTTGCATTATTCTTTAAATTAGCTTTGCATATTGTGAAGTTTCTATTGCCATATCATAGGTTTACTGATTCTTTCCTTGGCCATGTCCAGTCTCCTGTTGAGTGAATCACATCAAATGCAATCTTTTTTGTTTCAGTGTTTTCGATTCTAGCATTTGATTTTGATACTTTCTTACAATTTCCATCTTTCTACTTACATTACCTGCCAGGTCTGACCCACAGACACTGGCCGAACAACGGATGAACAAATGCACTCTGACACCAATATCCAGTGAAAGAGCAGGCTAGGAGACCAGGCTGCCCACAGACACCAAGGAGGGTGCTGTTAAGAGTCAGCAGCCGCAACCCCAGCAAGCTGGCGCTGCAGGCATTTATTCAGTATAGCTTTAATGACAAAGGCTTTGAGTCACCACACTTGTGGATAATTAACATGGTCACCCTCCCCGGAGGGAGCAGTCCTACAAATGATCAAAGGTCAGTCTTAGGACCACATGAGTAAACAAGCTCTTTAGATAAACTCCCTTACATTCCTTTGTACCTATTCTAAGCTATTATCTCAAGGTAAGAGGATTGGGCTGCCTTCGGCCATAACCCTATCTGAGGCTTTTGCAAAAGCTTCCAGCCTTCCAAGAAAGTTTGTTTCTATTTTACAATTTCTCCCACCATCCTGACTGAACTCCTACAATTACCCATCTTTTCTTTGATGCTGTTCACTTTTTCCACGAGAGCCCTTGGCATATTCATTATAATTATTTTCAATTCCTGATTTGATAATACCAAATTCTCTGTCATATCTGAGTCTGCTTGTGATGCTTATTTTGTATCTCAGGTTGTGTTTTTTGCCTTTTAATATACCTTGTAATTTTTTGTTAAAAACCAGCTATGATATATCGAAATAAGGAACTAAGGTAAATTGGTTTTTTAATGTGGGGTTTTATGTTTAGCTGATTGGTAGCTCGGCTGTTTATTGTATGTTCTAGCTGTGGTGTCAGAAGCTAAAATTTTTCTCTAGTATCTTTGTATTTTTCTCCTCTGCTGTCTTTGGGTTTTCCTAGAATCTGGTTAATATGGTCTGAGTTTCAGTTATTTTTAAGCTACAGTCCCTTGTTAATACAAAAGAACCCTACTAATGTGTTGGTAAGGTGTGGGGGAAGTGGAAGCATTATGTAATCCTATGATTAGTTCTCAGTCTTTTAGTGAGTCTGTATCCCTGTGCTGTGGACTTTCACAAGTACTTAGCTTTTATTCCCCTTAGGTGAGACCAAAACGGTAAGGGAAATTGCAGTTGTGTATTTTCCTACCCCTACTTGGATTAGGCTCTAGTAAAGCCCAAATAAGTTGCCCTTTGGTTACATACTTTCATTTGAGGAGAAAAATTTGCTAAGGAAAACAGAGTACTCTGGATGTACTTCAAATAGTTACGTTTTCCCTTCATCAGGAGCATGAGAGAATTTTTCATGTATCTTCACCCAGAGAATCTGGCAGAGTTCCCAGACTCATGAACATGTAGGGCTTCCCTAAAGCTGAGCTCCCGGGAGTTTTAATTTCAAGCTGGTCCATGCTCAGTCTTCTGTCATTTACCTTTTAAATAATTCAGTCAATTACCTTTTAAGTGTTCCTACCTCTCCAGCAGTGGTTTCTGTTTCCTGTGAGGTGTGATTCTTTGTGTTGACCCGTCTTTCCAATTTTCAGTTAGTAGTTTGCCTTGCAAACTTAATTCTGTGATGGATCTAATATGAGTTCTTGATTTTCAGTTTGTTCAAAAAAAATTTTTTTTATGTTATGTAGATAGAAAAGACAACTTTAAAGTTCTTTACATGTGGGTCCAGAAACTGCAAATGTCCAGTAGTTTCTCTGTCTCTCTCTCTCTCTTTTGCATCTCAACTTCATTCAAATTGCATACATACACACATAAAACAACTACTAAAACATAAATGGACAGTATGACATGCAAATTTCAGAATAGTTTATGTGTATGGGAAGAAAACAATTAGAATGTAGGAAGCTTTGCTTATAATTGTAATGCCTCATTCTATTAAAATGACAAAAAGATCTGAAACAAACAAGGCAAAACATTAACTTTTGTTAGATCTTAGTGGTATAAACCCAAATGCTTGTTTAGTCTATCTACTTTTTTAGTATTTTCAAAATATTTTCAGTAAAAATATTTCAAAATCTAACCACTGAGATGAAACTAACAGTTATAGTTGTAACTAAGTATGTCTGTAGTACAAATAATGTTGCAAAAAAATGCTGAAGTTTGGAAAATTGATTTTTAAAAGAAAAGCCCTTATAAAGAATTGATAACTTAAAAATTAATTCTAAGAAGACAAAGACAAAAATAAGTGAATACATAAAATTTATGTTCTAATTTAATTTTTTTATGGAGAGATGCTAATTATGCATGTTTCTTAGGCAAGTTAGCTAAATCAATCCTGAAATTATGATGGTCTATTCATTCATTTCTGAAGACATGCAACTTCTGCTAGGAATGACTTTCTCTTCTTTTGTATGGTTAGCAGAGGAGGAAGCAAGAAAAAAAAAAAAGAAGAAAAAAGAAAACCTTAAGTCTATTGTCATAGTTATCTCAATAACCAACAAGACGCAGTTTCTAGTCAAAATACATAAAGTGGACAAATATATTTTTAAAAAGTCCTAACATATGCTGTCTACAAGTGAGTAAATTTGGCTTTAGGGACACCCATAGACTGGAAGTGAAGGTATGATAAAACATATTCCATGCAAACGAAAACCCAAAGAAAACAAGGGCAGCCATACCTATATCAGAAAAAAATAGACTTTAAATCAAAAACTACAATAAGAGACAAAGAACGTCATTATATAGTGATAAAGAGGTTGATTCATTAAGAGGATATAACAAGTACATATCTATCTATCTATATATGCACCCAACATCTGAACACCTAAATATGTAAAGCGAATATTAACAAATCTGAAGGGAAGAATAGATTACAATACAATAATAGTAGGGGACTTTGGTACCCCATTTCTAATAACGACTAGAATATCCAGACAGAATATCAGTAAGGAAATGTTGGACTTGAACTGTACTTCAGACGAAATGTGACTGGCAGACATACACAGAATATGTTATTTAAGAGCAACAGAATATGCATTCTTCTCAAGTGCACAGGAAACATTATCCAGGGTAAATCATATGTAAGACCGCAAAACAACTCCTAGCTCTTAAAATATTTAAGAAGATTAAAATTGTATCAATCGTCTTTTCCAAAGAGAATGACAAGGAATCAATAATAGGAAAACTAGAAGATTCAAAACTATGAAAATTCAGCAACACCCTCCTGAACAATCTATGGGTCCATGAAGAAATCAAAAGGGAAATTTAAAAAACTATCTTGAGACAAACAGAAATAGAAAGACAGCACTACTAAAACTTATGGGATACTGCAAAAACTGCCCTAGGAGGGAAGCTTATAATGATAAATGCCTACATTAAGAAAAAAGAAAGATTTTAAATAAGCAATCTAACTTTACATCTTAAGGAAATAAAAAAGAAGAACAAACTAAGTAAAAAATTAGTAGAAGGGAAAAAAGATCAGAGCAGAAATAAATGAAATGGAGTTTAGAAAAACAATAGAAAAGAAAAATAAACTAAGCATTTTTTTGAAATCATAAACAAAATTAATAAACTTCAGCTAGACTAAGAGAGAAAACTCATGTAAAATCACAGATGAAATAAGAGACTTATAACTGATACTACAGAAATAGAGAAGATCATAAGAGGCTATTATGAATAATTATACTCAAAAAAATTCAATATTCTAGAAGAAATGGCTAATTCTGGAATCATATAACCTACCAAGACTGAATCATGAAAAAACAGAAAATCCAAAAAGACCAATAATTAGTAAAGAGATTGAATCAGTAATGAAAAATTCCCCCACCAAAAAAAAAAAAAAAAAAAAGGCCATTACCAGGTGACTTCCCAAGTGAATTCTACCAAATATTTTTCTTAAAAATTAATATCAATTCTTCTCAAACTCTTCCAACAAATTAAAGAGGCAGGAACATTTCCAAAGTCATTTTATGAGGTCCATATTACCATGATACCAAAGTAAGACAAGGGCACTATAATGCCTCTCTAAAGTGGAAACTCTAGTTCAATTCTTTTTATCCTCATTTCTCATGTAGAAATTTAACAAAACTGTGGAAGTAAAGTATTTGCAAATATTGAAGAATCTATAGTATGGCATAGTTTTTTGAGAAATGGACTCCCTAAAGTTCTTTAGAGACAAGTTCTTGTCTTGTTTTTATTTAATATTTTCAGTCATGGTACAATTATGGAATAAAGAATACTCTTATTTTTGTTTTGAATTTTCAAGTGAGTGGAATGTTTTTTCAATAGCTCGTAAATATGAATTAAAATTAAATTGTGAGTTCAATATGAGTTGAATTTATTAAATTTCAAAGGTTTCTTGTAGAGTGGTTCATTTAGATGAGTAAATAGAGAGAGTGGTATACTGACAATATCACAATTGCGTTTGCTGTCAGGACAACCTAACCCAGATTCTCAGTCCATGACACAGCATGCAAATGTCATGCTAACACTCAGATACGAACACATAGCCAATCCTATATCAATGCTATCCTATTCCTGGATAGCATCGTGCCATAAGGAACCAGTTTGCAGGACTCATCATTGAAGTTTGGCATTTCAGAAGAGAAAGATTAATGCCTTCCTTTTTTTATATAAAACAACAGCCTTATAGATTTCCATCTAAAAATAATTTCTTCATCAAATATATTCTAAAAAAAATTTTGCTTACTGCTTATAGCTCCCTCTTGAGTATTCAAATATATACTAACATATTAACAGCTCTGAGAAGTCATATTGCAAAACCAACTCTTTAACTTTACTTAACCAGCATTGCCCAAATCTGTTTGACCACAGAGCATTTTCATGGTGTGTTTCAGTTATTAACTCTATGGTATACTATTTGGGAAATATTGTCTCTCAATTGTTTAAGTCATTTATGCAAGTGTATGGAATAGTATGATTTTCATTATAAGCCTACATTTAGAACAATGTTTTTGTATTGTAACATCTTAATTTGAATAAAGGAACCAGTACAATTAAGTTGTGTGATTTTTAATGGTATAACTATTCTGAATACAAAATCTTAATTTGCCGTTTGAGTATTATGTTTTACTAAGATATACCTATATGAAATTGATCAAAATTCCCCATACAGTAATTATAGAAATTTTGCATTGCACAGCTGTTGGGAGAAATTTAATCCTCCCCAAATAAAGATGAGGTAAGCTTGTTTTTTCTTAAACATATGACAAAGAAAGGTCCAGATTCAACAATAGATACAACAAATAATTTGGCAACACAAACTATATGCCAAATGTGATATTAGTAGGTTCTTCCATACCTCCAATTATAAGAAATTATTACAACACAAACATAGCTGACAACATTGTTTCCAGAAGTAAGTCATGGCACATAACTGAATCTGACTTCCCAATTTATTAGTGTGTTCCAGAAAGAAAAGTGTGCATTGCTTTCATTTCATTTTAACAATGTCATCTGAGATACCATATATATATATCTATGGTGTTTTTCCCACCTCTTTCTAGGAAAAGCCAATACTTTATATTATGTCCATGTATTAGTCAGAGTTCGCTAGAGGGAGTGGACTAATAGCATAGATGTATATGTGAAAGGAAATTGTTAAGGAGTATTGACTCACACGATCACAAGTTGAAGTCCCACAGTAGTCCATCTGTAAAATGAGGAGCAAGGAAGCCAGTCCGAGTCCCAAAACCACAAAAGTAGAGAAGCCGAGAGTGCAGCCTTCAGTCTGTGGCCAAAGACCCGAGAGCTCATGGCAAACAACTGATGTAGGTCCAAGAGTCCAAAAGCCGAAGAACTTGCAGTCCAATGTTTGAGGGCAGGAAGCATCCAGCATGAGACAAAGATGAAGCCTGGAAAACTCAGCCAATCTAGTCTTTCCATGTTCCTCTGCCTGCTTTTATCCTTGCTACCCTGGCAGCTGATTAGATAGTGCCCACCCAGTCCACTAACTCAAATGTTAATCTCCTTTGGCAACACCCTCACAGATACACCCAGCGACAATACTTTGCATCCTTCAATCCAATCGAGTTGACACTCACCATTAATCATTACAGTGCCCTTTCTTAGCTTATATAGGACACTAGTAGGAAGACCTCAATATGTACAAATAATTACATTGAAAGATTTATATACCAGCATCCATAAGCCAGGAATCATTTTTAAAAACAAGTTAAAAAAAAATAAGGGATGCATGAGTTGTTTTGTTTAAATGGTCTTGATAAATATTTCCCCATAGAACATAGCGCCTCCTAGAACTGCATCCCCATAGAACAAAGAACAGGCATACACATTATGGTCATATCCTCAAAGCAGATAAAAAATAAAAACATATCTTACTTTCTGTAACTGTCACCAAGATACTCCTCAACATTTTATGACAAATTAATGAATTGGGTCCCATCAACTTTTTCAGATTCTTTTCTATCAAAATTATATTAAGGATACCAAGAGAACAGCTAATGATGACAAAATATATCTAAGCAATATGGTATAATTTATATTTAAACTAATTGCTCATCTAGATAATTTAATTAAGCAAATTTCCATAATAAATTTGATGTGATCATTTTGCATTTTTTTAAAAAAGAAAAACAATAGCCTCCTGTTGTAACAGCAAAAATGCGGAGAAATATTTATCTTTGTTTATCTGTTAGAGTAATCAAGTGTGAATTTCTTGAGGGTTTTGACATTTGCAAAATTGTAAAAATTTCACTAAAACAAGGTCCATCTTTTTCTTCTTCATAAGAAAACTATTTGCATGGTTAACATTTGGAAGATGTTTGGAAGACCTTATGCATTGATAAAGAAGGTGACAAGCATGTTAGACCAAGAAACAGTTTTAGGTCTAGGGAGAAGTAAAACACACAGGACAATTTGTTTTACACGCTCTGACTGATATAGCACATATCCATCAGAGGGAGGAGAAAATGAAACCAAATAATACTTGTTAATTTTAGAATGATTTTATTCCTGCTACTCTTAAATAATGGAGAATTTCTATTGCTTTTCAAATCCTTGTTTTAGTTTGCAACAGAAAAAATCAAGAATAATGTTTTTATTATAAGTGTGTGAATAAAAAATATAACTAATATTTTGGATATTGCATTTAAAGTATTTTTAAAATTGTCTTAATATTGGAATATTTACAAATTAGGACTAATTCTTTATACATGAAAAGCATTAGGTTGAAAATAAGTGAGATCTATTTAGAACGAATGTATACATTTGTTGTATACTACTAAATTGAAACTAGTTTTTATTTACTGTTCAAATCCTTAGTACCTCTCTAATGGTTCAAGTGGGGATACAAATATCTCAATTATTTGAAAGTTAAATTAAGTTGGAAAGGCTCTCTTCTTATCTTACTTTCCCTTGGTGATTCTCTTTCTCTCTAGCTCTTTTACACTCAAGATTGAGTCTATTGAGTATAAGAAGAAAACCTATAAGGCTAATCCTCAAAAGCAATAACAAAAACTACTTCAGTTGAGTGTGTTAGCAGATTGGATAAATATTGGTTTGCCTGGATGACATACCGCATAATCTCCTTCTCTAAGTGACTGACATAGCAGTCTCTTCCTTCTTATGCTATAGAACCATGGAAGCATCTTGCCAAATAAAATAGATAGCATGGAGATTCTGAAACTATGTTACAGCTATTCTTGTAAATTTCATAGAGCCAAACTTTGAGCCTATTTACTTCTAACTTTGTCTTAACAACAAGTAACAAGAGAGTAAGTCACATTTACATGTCACATCACTGTGAGAGATAATAAGATTATTCATTGAATGTTTACTAAATATCTACTCTGTGTTTTAAACACTTGGGACAGAACATTGAAAAGATAAAGTTTCTACCCTTAATAATTTTACATTTTGAATTAGAAGGAAAGGGGCAGTGATAAGTGATAAACATTATAAAGAAAAATAAAGCTAAGTAGTGGCATGATGGAGAGAATTAATTTTTTTTTTTTTTGAGACAAAGTCTTACTCTGTCACCCAGGCTGGAGTGCAGTGGCACAATCTCGGCTCACTGCAAGCTTTGCCTCCTGGCTTCAAGCGATTCTCCTGCCTCAGCCTCCCGAGTAGCTGGGACTACAGGTGCGCGCCACCACACCTAGCTAATTTTTTGTATTTGTAGTAGAGACGGGTTTCACCGTGTTAACCAGGATGGTCTCGATCTCCTAACCTCGTGATCCGCCCGCCTCGGCCTCCCAAAGTGCTGGGATTACCAGCATGAGCCACTGTGCCCGGCCGAGAATTAATATTTTAAGTAGGGTAGTAAGGGAATAACTGGCATAGACCCCAGAGAATGTGTGATATGTTCTAAAAGCAGCACGGCCTGTAGAGTTGAAGCTCAGTGAGCAAATGAGAAGGAGAAAGGAAGTAAGAAATGATGCATGAGTTAGAACCAGGCATCTGCTATTTATCTTCCTCTAGTAGATCATGGCAATTATTTTAGAATTTATTTGGATTTCATACGGTTTTTAGCAGACAAGTGTTAAACCATACTCATGTTTTAAAAGTTGCATTCTATCTTCTACATAGCAAATAGAATGAAAGGAATTTAAGAATTAGAGTGGCACTCTCAATTAGGAAATTATTCCAGTGGTCCATGGAGTCCAGAAGCAGTAGGAGAGATAATAAGAAATGACCAGATTCTTGGTTAAGTTGTAAAAGTGGCTACAGCAGTACTATGCTAATAAATTAGGGTATAAGATTAAAGGACATATCAGAGACTACTCTGGAGTTTTTTGACTTAAGCAATTGGAAGGATAAAATTGGCATCAACTGGCCGGGCGCAGTGGCTCACGCCTGTAATCCCAGCACTTTGGGAGGCCGAGGTGGGCGAATCATGAGGTCAAGAGATGGAGACCATCCTGGCCAACATGGTAAAACCCCGTCTCTACTAAAAATACAAAATTGCAAAACTTAGCTGGGCGTGGTGGCTGGCACCCATAGTCCCAGCTACTCGGAGGCTGAGGCAGGAGAATCGCTTGAACCCAGGAGGCAGAAGTTGGCAGTGAGCCAAGATGGCGCCACTGCACTCCAGAGCCTGGCAATAGAGCGAGACTCTGTCTCAAAAAAAAAAAAAAAAAAAAAAAAAAAAAAAGATTGCCATCGATTGACTTAATTTACTTCAGGAAGGCAGTGGAAGAGTAGGTTTTGGGGGGATGTCCTAGAGTTCAGTTTTTAATGTCTATCAGTCATTCAAGTAGATACGTAGAGTGGGCAGTTAAATTTATAAATCTGAAGTTGATGAAAAAGGTCTGAGACATAGAGTGACATTTAAAACTTCTTAATTGTATTTAAACCTATAATCATCAATTAAAGAAGGGAGTATAGCACTGGGTCTTCAGCACTCTAACATCTGGACATGAGGAAAAATCAGAAAAGGACACTCAAAATAAACTATCCATAATGTACACAGTGAACCAATGGAAGAGTTTCCCCTTGGAAATTTAAATGCAAAAAGTGTTTCAAGATAGAGCAAAGAACTGATGTGATAAAGGTTGCTGACATAACATGAGATATGAGCAATAATGATCAATATTGCAAAATAGGGAAACTGACAGTAACAGTTTTCCTGGAATTATAGGGATAAAAATCTGGTGGAATAACTTCAAAAGAAAAGGGAAGAGAGAAACTGAAGATAGAGAGTGTACTCTTTCAGCTACAATTAGACTGACATACAAACATAATAGGAATAAGAATAAATTCACTGTCTTTCCAATTTTTAATTAGCTGTTAAGTAGGGCAATTTTACTTGTTTTCTCATTAAGCTCTTACCCATTATATTTTAGCATTTTATATTGTCAACGAGTAGCTCTGCTATGAGTAATTTTGATATTTATCTCTTACTTTTGTTTTGCAGTTTGCATAAAATACCTCGCCACCTGATTATATGTCTGTAAATTATTTTTCCTACTATATTTCACTTTTACACCTTTATAATTAGTCTCAAGATGTTCAGTAAAATCTGCTGCCTACTCTCTTTCATGTGGATGCCTTGTCAAGTCAGGATTTCCTACTGGTATTTTTAAACATTTGTCTTCTCCTATCCCTTTATTCTTTTTCTCGTCTTCAGATCTGTTACTGATCCTCCTTATCTCCCTTCTTTAGGAAGTGTTACAGCTCCCTATATTCCTTTACTAGAGAGAGAGAGAGAGATGCAAGGGAGAATATTCTGCATAATCCCAAAGTGTCGGAGGATATTAATTAATTTCACTATACATTTGTGTTATTCTTTGATTATGGTAGGTTTTTTCCCCAGTTATCTTCATTTGATTGTACCTTAAGATTCCAAATTCTTCTTTGCATCCTTTTTTTAAAAAAACCTAATGTCTGGCAATTACATTAACTGAATTCCAACTGATTTCTGTTTCATCACTTTAACCAAGAATTTAAAATATTTACAAACTTAACCAAGATTAGCAAAACAGCTTCATAGTAGCTTCTTCTGCCCCTTTCCACTTTAAATTTCCTCTCTTATCTACTATCTTATGTATCAAATGAAAATTCCTAACTGTGTTAAAGGTAGCACTCTGAAATATTTTCTTAAAATTATTCCAACAGTGACATTCTATGAAATAAAATAAAACTCTTTTACCTTACACTATTTTATTATCATAGTTTAATTATTCTGATATACATTAAAATTGTACTAAAGGATTATGGTGAAAAGTAGAAGTCTTTTGCTTATCAAAAGAATCACCTTTAGTCCCCAAGTTATTCTTATGCTATTTACCTCCATATTTCAGATGAATATATTTATATTATTTTTTCATGTATTAACTTTAGACATTATCAATGTCTTGACAATGAAGTTGAGACCTTAATATTTTCGCTGCAGAAGGATATCCTTTGCCTCTATCCTCACTCAGTACGAGTTATATTAAAAACTTGATTCATTGTTAATTTTATTAATATGATTATTTAATATTTACACCTGAGAAAACTTGTTATGCAAATTTTTTATGGAATTACCTTGTTTTTCTATATATTGTTTATTTTGTGTTGAGTATTCCAGTACCTCTGTCTTCTACTAAATATTATGTCATTATGCTTTGATCACATTCATTCCATTTTTTTTCCCAGAAATTCCACTTCAGAAGCTCTCTTTATTCCCACTATAATTACTCTCAATTTCTGCCACCTCGATGTTCTGATATCTTTCTTCATTTCTTTCCTGAGGTAGATTCCACTTCTTAAATTTTATATTTTCTTGTTATTTGGTTTACTCTCTTGTTTTGCTAAATCACCTGAGAAAGTTTGCATGTGAAATACATATTTTGGAAAACATAGTGTCCGAAAAATTTTTTTACACTCAATTTGATTGGTAGCTTGTTTTAGTATAGAAAAGGTGCAGATTTAGAATTAAGGGATGACTTAAAGGCTTTATGCTACTATTTTCTATATTATAATGTTGCTATCAGTGCCATTTTAACTCGACATTTCTATATGATTATTCAATTCACTTTTATATTTTGATGTTCTGAAATTTTATAACATTGTTTCTTGCTGATCCTTTCTTATTAATTTTTCTGGAGACAAAGAGAACTTTAAATCTGCAGACATATGCTCTTAAATTCTGCTTTTATTCTAGCGTGAACCCGGGAGGCGGAGCTTGCAGTGAGCAGAGATCGTGCCACTGCACTCCAGCCAGGGTGACAGAGTGAGACTCCGTTTCAAAAAAATAAAAAAATTAAAAATTAAAATTAAAAAACATTCTACTTTTATTCTAGCAGTATTTACACTCAACTGCCGCATAATGACATGTTGATCAATGGACCACATGTAGAAGGGTGGTCCCATAGGATTATGATACTGAATTTTATTGAATCTTTTCTACATTTAGATATATTTATATACACAAGTACTTAATATTGTGTTACAGTGTCCTACAGTGTTCAGTGCAGTAACATGCTGTACAGGTTTGTCGCCTAGGAGCAATAGGCTATACCATATATAATAGCTTAGGTGTATAGTAGACTGTACATCCACATTTGTGTAAATAAACTCTATGATGTTCTTACAATGACGAAATCATCTAACGACCTAGTCATCAGAACATACCCTGTCTTTAAGTGATGCAAGGCTGTATTTGATAATTTTCCTTCTCTGTTTTCTCTACTTCATTTCTAGTATAGCTAGTAAGAGATATTGGTTCCTGTTCTGATACTCTGATTTTCTTAACATTTACCTTCTATTTTCCATAACATTTAATTTTGTCATGCTTCAGTGAGACTTTATAAACTTTATTATTAAAATGTTCTACTGATTTTCTTTGCTATTACATGTCCAATTCCCAAGAACGTTTTCTAAGTAGACCGATCTAACTTTATGCTTGCATGACATTAAAAACATTTAAAATAAAGTACAGCATACATAAAGAAAAGCATACAAGTTAAGAGTCCACAGTTCAATAAATATTCAAAATTTGAACACATTTGTGTAGTCACCAAACAAATATTTAAAAGGAGCATCATTAGCACTTGCAGAACCCCTGCCCTTTGCATCTAGTAGCCAACCACCCACACACTCCTGCCTCAATGGAAACCATTATCCTGGCTTCTAAAAACACTGAATGATTTTAACTCCTTTTACAGTTTATATATGTTGAAATATATTTATGTACCCTTTTGTGTTTGTTTAATTTTACTCAGTAGTATTTGTGTGAGGCTATAATTCATTTGTTCTTATTGCTGTTATTTGTTAACCTGAATATACTACATTTATTTATCCATCCTAATACTAATAAGCATTTGGTTTCTTTCCAATTTTTAGCTATTATAAATAATGCTTCAAATAACAGTGTTGTACATGTCCTTTTACGAATGTATGTTCAAAAATATTTTAAATATATATCCAACAGTGGAGTCCCTGGGTTATAGGATAAACCATAATAGATACTTCCAAAACATTTTCCAAAGGAATTATTCTAATTTTCACTCCCACCAGGAATAAATACATAAAGGTTCCAGTTTCTCTATATTTTTTGTCATTACTTAGTGTTGTAATTAGTTTATTTTTAGCTGTGTTGGTGGGTGGATTCTCATTATTTAATTTATTGTCTGAAAAACTTTACCAAATAATATTGATATTCCTTATTTGAAAGGTGAATTTTTTTTTCTGCCTGGACTTCATTTATTGAGGGTGTGTTGAATCTTTTCTCTTTTTGCTTTCAATTTGTTTTATCAGTAATTATTTTTAAGGTTAATTTTCTGGGTGTAGACATTAGGAAGACAACGTTCTGACTACTGCATTATTTCCGTTAAGTAACCTGCTGTCTTATTGCTGCTGCTTTAAAGAAATATGCCTATTCTTTTTAAACAGATTTTAGCAATTTATCTTTGTCTTTGATTTAAATAATTTCATCATGGTGCATGGGGTTTTGTTTGCATTTTACCTACTTGAGGTTCATGCTGTTTAATAAATTTGTGGCACAAAATTATGGTATTCATCAGTTTTGTAAAATTATCAATAATAATATTCTCAACAGTTGATTGATTTTAATGTTTACTGAGGTGTTATTAATATTCAATGAATTTATATTTAACATGTGAAATTAAAACATACATATATATAGTAATTGATCACCATCATCAAGATGTTTATTATTCCCCAAAATTTCCTAATGCTCAATTCTAACCTTTTACTCCTACCCTTCTCCCCAATCTATCCCAGATAAACCATTAATCTGCTTTTCATTATGTTAGATGTGTTTGCATTTTATAAAATTTTATAAATTGGAATCATAGGGTGTGTATTTTTTGTTTGACTTTTCAGTATAATTATTTTAATATTTATAGATGTTTTCACTTTTTCCTTTTTCATTGCTGAGAAGTATTCGTTGTATGGATATATCACAATTTGTTTATTTAACAACTGATGGCCATTTGAGTTGATTTCAGATTTAGTTACTGCAAAAAAAAATTGCTAAGAACATCTGTATACATATGCTTTGTACCGGCATATGATTTTATTCCTCTCGGATAAATACCCTGGAGTGTAATGGCTGGATCATGTAGAAGTTATTTATTCAACTTTTTAAGAAACTGCAAGTTTTTCAGAGTGGTTGTACCATTTAACATTCTCATCATCAGTGCATCAGAGTGACAGTTCATATTCTTCAGTTGAAAGATGTATAGTTGTATCAAATTGTGGTTTTAACTGGCGTTTTCTTAATGACTAAAGGCTTGCATATCATTTTATCTGATTATTTCCTATTTATATATCTTCTTTTGTGTAATGTCTGTCAAATATATTCCTGGAATTGTGGTGTGTGTTTCTTATCACTGAGTTCTGAGAGCTCTTTATATATTCTGGATAAAAAAATTATAAGATTTAAAAACATATATTATTACTATGTGACATGTCTTTTCATTGACTTAAAATGCCCTTAAAAACCAGATTTTTTGTGAAATTTAACATAACATTTTTCTCTATATAGACATATAGACTGTTTTTTTGGTGTCAAGTGATAAAATTTGTGCTGTGAAGATTACATATTGGAGATATAGTTTTCTACTCTTACATTTATACAATTCCTAGGGTTCTAATACACAATTTCTATATTGAGAAAATTTACTTCCTCAAATTATTCTTTTTATTCTACATTCCATAAAGTATATGGTGCTTTAAGCATGAGAGACTAAATGTATAATCTAACTTATAGTATATTTAAAAAGAAGAGACATGCTTTCCATGATACTTCATTTCTATTCCACTCCATGTCATATAAAGATATATTGTTTTGTTACCACATTATAAGCAGTATAAACCAAGAGAATAAAGAAAGCATCAGTGTTCAATGCATAAAATTAGAGATAACATTCTTTTGCAAAACTTTGGTTTCATACATAGAAAGGCATGTACTCAAAAAATATATGTTACTGTTGCCAGGTGTGGTAGCTTATGCCTGTAATCCCAGCACTTTGGAAGGCTGAAGTGGGAGGATCACTTGAGCTCAGGAGATCTAGACCAAACTGAGCAACCTAGGAAGGACCTGTGTCTACAAAACGTAAAAATAAAAAATTAGCCAGGTGTAGTGGTACATGCCTGTAGCCCCAGCACGAGGTAGGAAAACCAATTGAGCCCAGGAGGTTGAGGTTGCAGTAAGCCATGATAGCACCACTGCACTCCAGCTTGGGCAACAGAGTGAGACCCTATCTAAAAAATTTGTTTAAATATGTATATATATATATGTACATACATATATTTATGACATACATATAGTTAGTATCCTGTGTTATGATATAATAAGTATCTCAGTATAGATCTTAGATACACAAACACACATATATATGTATGTATACATGTATATATGTGTGTATATGTACATTAAACACACACAATATTGAAAGCTGCAGTTCTAAAGAAAGATTCTATAGCAGTAAAATGTTGCTTACAATAAAAGCAATATTTCACATTATTTCATAAAAAAACCACAAAATATTGGTTCCCACAGAACGATAGTTACTGTAAAATTCTGTTGCCTGTTTATTGATTATGATTCCATTTTATATTTATGATACTCAGTTTTCAAATTTTTGGTGGTTCTAGAACTAAGAAACCTTAAATGTTTGAGGGGATGGATACCCCATTCTTCATGATGTGCTTATTTCACATTGCATGCCTGAATCAAAACATCTCATGCACCTCATAAATATATGTATACCCACTGATATGGTTTGGCTGTGTCCCCACCCAAATCTCACATAGAATTGTAATAATAATCCCCACATGTCAAGGGCAGGGCCAGGTGGAGATAACTGAATCATGGGTGGCAGTTTCCCCCATATGGTTCTCATGGTAGGGAATAAGTCTCATGAGATCTGATGGTTTTATAAATGTGAGTTCTCCTGCACAAGCTCTCTTGCCTGCTGCCATGTAAGACATGCCTTTGCTTCTCCTTTGCCTTCTGCCATGATTGTGAGTTCTCCCTAGCCATGTGGAACTGTGAATCCATTAAACTTCTTTCCTTTATAAATAACCCAATCTTGATATGTCTTAATTATAAGCGTGAGAACAGACTAATACACCTACTATGTACCCACAAAATTAAAAATTAAAGTTAAATTTTGAAAAAGAACTAAAAAACCATGTGCTTTCAAATGCATTTTCTAGTTTTACACATTATTACAAATAAAATCTGTTTTTGGCTTTAAAATTACCATATTTTAATCTTTATTATTTTTCATAAACATCTCATATTCTTAAGGCCATTTTTAATCATACCTCAAGTTCAAGATACTACTTTCAATTCTACGCCAACAGAGTATCCTATTCTTAAGGATATGTCATAGAAATGAGTCTAAAGGTATTAAAAAAATTGGAAGCTGTACTTATCCCTTCCACATTATTGTCCAGGAATACATGTATTTTCCTATATTTTCTCTTTTAACCATATGACTAATGACTCCTTAGGTTCAGCTGCTAAACATGATAATATTAGTAAAAATAAGAGTGATTATATCCACAGCCTGTGCCCTCATGATGTTCACGGGTTTAGGAAAGACAAAAATAGTATACAAAATT